>NC_000003.12:125826786-125978301 GCF_000001405.40 Homo sapiens
AGTAGTGGCACGGGCCTGTAATCCCAGCCACTCAGGAGGCAGAGAATCACTTGAGTCTGGGAGGCAGAGGTGGCAGTGAGCTGAGATTGCACCACTGCACTCTAGTCTGGGTGACAGAGTGAGACCCTGTCTCAAAAACTAACAAATACCTCACCGCATGGAGCCACTGAGATTTGGGGGTTGTTGTTACTGCATCAGAACCCAAATCATCCTGACCACTAGACTGTCCTAACTAGGGTTTCTTACCAAAAGCAAAGGCATTTTTAAAGTTCGTGACATTTAAACAAAAGAGCAAATACCAATATCTGCCACTTTGTCAGGCTAACAAACCCAAACAAAGCCAACAGCCAGAAGTTAAAAGAAACGGATCATTAGGTTGAAAACAGAACTGTCAAAACAGGCAAAATTGACTTTGTTTAGTGATTGCAAAGAACATCAGGCAAGACACAGGTGTGGTCATCATATAATTTATCACATGCTTAATTGCACATGTTTGACTAAGAAAAACACAAAGTATTTAAGCTCATCTGTAGTTCAAAGTGCCTATCCGTGTATTTGTCCATTCATCCTGATTTATTTATTGAGCAACTCTTTTGTACCAGGCACTGTGCTGGGTGGTGGTAATGCAATGATGAAAATGGCAGGCATGGCTCTGCCCTCCAGGAGTTTCTAGGATACAGAGGGAGACAAACAAAAAATAAGTAAATCCATGAAAGAAGTATTGGTGGAACCTGCCCCCCAATATTTCAATGTAGGTTCTTTCTGTTTTCCATAAGTGTCAGCCAGCTGAGAAATAAAGAGAGACACTACAAAGAGAGGAATTTTACAGCTGGGCCACTGGGGGTGACATTACATATCAGTAGGACCATGATGTCCCCTGAGTCTCAGACCAGCAAGTTCTTAATTAAGGGTTTCAAAAGGGGAGGCAGTGTAAGAACAGGGAGTAGGTACAAAGATCACATGCGTCAAAGGGCAAAAAGCAGAACTACTACTAAGGGTCTAAAAAAGATCACATGCTTCTGAGGGAACAGGACAAAGGGCAAAAGCAGAACTACTGATAAGGGTCCAGCAAAGATCACAAAGCAAAGGGCAAAAGCAGAACCACTGATAAGGGTCTACGTTCATTGGCGCATGTATTGTCTTGATAAACATCTTAAACAACAGAAAACAGAAAACAAGAGAACCAGTCTGACCACAGATTTACCAGGGCAGAGTTTTCCTCCACCCTAGTAAGGCTTTGGGTACTACAGGAGACCAGGGCGTATCTCAGTCCTTATCTCAACTGTGTAAGACAGACATTCCCAAAGCGGCCATTTATAGACCTCCCCCCAGGAGTGCATTCCTTTCCCAGGGTATTAATATTCCTTGCTAGGAAAAGAATTTAGTGATATCCCTCCTACCTGCACATCCTTTTATAGACTCTCTGCAAGAAGAAACATATGGCTCTTTTTGCCTGACCCTGCAGGCAGTCAGACCTTATGGTTGTCTTCCCTTTTTCCCTAAAAATCACTGTTATTCTCTTCTTTTTCAAGGTGCACTGATTTCATATTGTTGAAACACACATGTTTTAAAATCAATTTGTACAGTTAACACAGTTATCACAGTGGTCCTGAGGTGATGTACATCCTTAGCTTATTAATATAACAGGATTAAGAGAGTAAAGACAGGCATAAGAAATTATAAAAGTATTATTTGGGAACTGATAAATGTCCATAAAATCTTCACAATTTATGTTCCTCTGCCACAGCTCCAGCCAGTCCCTCCATTTGGGGTCCCTGACTTCCCACAACAAGAAATAATAAGAGGTTAAGGTGGAGAAGAGCAGGGAAGTCCACTTTATAAAGGGGTCAGGAAAGAGCTCTCTGTGGAAGCACCATTTTAGCTGAGACCTAAAGGATGGTCTAATTTGGGGAGGTGCAGAGGAAAATCATTCCAGGCTGAAGCAGCAAGTGCAAAGGCCCTGTTGTGGAAAAAGGTTTGAAAGTCCAACAAAACAAAAGGAGGCCAGAGTGGCTGAAATAGAGTAGGCCAAGGGGAGGAGATAGGAGAGGGCTGGAGAGGCGGCAGGGTCAGGCAGAAGACTCAGGGTCTTGATTTTATTCTATGTGCCATGGGCAGGAAAGGCAAGGGTGAGACTCAATGGACACCTTAAGATCACTGAAGCTGCCAGGTGGGAAATGGATTGCTGAGCATCAAGAGTAGGTGCAGAGGACCAGTTAAGACCAGTTAGGAGGCTGCTGCTGTAGCCCAGCTGGGATAGCAGTGCCCTAGGCAAAGATAACAACAGTGAAGTTAAAGAGAGTGGACAAGTTGGGTAAAGTTTAGAATCACAGGACTTGCTGACTGGAGAAGAGGGCAAAAGCAGAGTTAGCACAACACATGAGTTATGACCACCTTGAGCAGCTCAGCAGGGGGTGGTGCCATTTACAGAACAGAGATGGCATGGACAGAGCCCATGGAGAAGGAGGAGGAAAAAGAGAGTTTGGCTTTGGGTTTTTTTTTAAGACAGGGTCTCTGGCTCTGTCACCCAGGCTGGAGTGCATTGGTGCGATCATAGCTCTTTGCAGCCTCAAACTCCTGGGCTCAAGTGATCCTCCTGCCTCAGCCTCCCAAGTAGCAGGATTACAGATCCTACAGATGCACTTCACCATGCCTAGCTAATTTTTTTTTTTTTTTTTTTTTTTGGTAGATAGGGAGTCTCACTGTGTTTTCCAGGCTGGCTTCAAACTCCTGGCCTCAAGTAATCCTCCTGCCTCAGCCTCCCATAGCACTGGGGTTACAGCCATCACCTACCACTCCAAGCCATGAGTTTGGCTTTGGATGTAACAAGATGGAGGTGTTCATGAGTTCACAAGTGGAAAAAACAAGAAAGAAGTTGAGTGTTTAAGACTGCTGTTTGAAGGAGAAGTCTAGCCTCAAGACAAAAGTTCAGGACTCATAAGCTGAGAAATGGCACTGAAAATTATGCAAAGGGATGAGCTCAGCTAGCAAACAAGTCCAGAGAGAGCAGAAAGTCCAGAGAGAGCAGCACTGGGCCATGCACCTGGCCTAATGCCACCCCACTCCTCCCAATCCCTGTGTTATGCTGGAGAGGGTTCAGCCTCTGGTGAGTTTCACCAAACCCCCACATCTTATTCTTCTGAGACCGTCTTTAAAATCCCCTCTTTTATACTTAGTGAAATGGGATTCTCTTTTTCCCATCCAGCTTAAGCAAAAACTTTTGACTATGAAAGGAATGAGGATGCATTTAATATCTGCTCTGCATGGCTAATTCCATCAAAGATTTCTCATTATTCATGCCTGGCAGTCTCATTTTCTTCTTTCGCCTCTCAGAGCATAGTCATAGCCTTAATTAGTGACCTTTTCACCCTTCTAACACCAGTGATTTTCCCCCATCTCAGTTCTCAGGAAGTTCTGTTCACAGAATTATCTCCTGAATCCTCACCTGGGGATAGAAATTGTTCTCTGTGGCCGTGTCTCCCCCTCTAATTCTCATCAAAAAACAGTGATCTCTGTGCATCAAATATGAAACTCAAGCTTAACAGATCATGCTTCTGGCTTCTCTCTCTCTCTGGCCTGTGGGTTAACAGGTTTGCAGCCTTTGCAGAGAAGACACCAAATTCTCAAGAGGCCAGAGTTTCCAAGAGTGCTGGTCACTCTTGCTCTCTTTCTCCTGCTCAAAATTCAGCACTAGAGAGTGTTACACCATTGCACCTGCAGAGGAGTTCATCTGACTCTAGGGACTACAGAGGAGAGAGACAGACAAACTAACAGACATTCAGAAAAGGGCTACCACAATGGGGAAGAAAATGAAAGTCAAACCAAATAAGCAATGGTCAAAAAAAAAAATCTAGAGGGCAGCTGCAGTGGCTCACATCTGTAATCCCAGCACTTTGGGAGGCCGAGGCAGGTGGATCACTTGAGATCAGGAGTTCAAGACCAGCCTGGGCAACATAGTGAAATCACATCTCTACTAAAAATACAAAAATTAGCCAGGTGTGGTGGTGGGAGCCTGTAATGTCAGCATTTTGTGAGGCTGAGGTGGGTGGATCACCTGATGTCAGGAGTTTGAGACCAGCCTGGCCAACATGGTAAAACCCTATTTCTATTAAAAAATACAAAAATTAGCCAGGTGTGGTGGCAGGTGCCTGTAATCCCAGGTACTTGGGAGGCTGAGGCAGGAGAATTGCTTGAACCCAGGAGGCAGAGGTTGCAGTGAGCAAAGATTGCACCACTGCACTCCAGCCTGGGCAACATTGAGACATTGTCTGGAAAAAAAAAAAACAAAAAACCTAGAAATGTCCATCCAGGCTGAAGAGAATATTCCAGAGCAGGGGTTGGGATACTATGGCCCATGGCCAAATCTGACCTGCATGCACATGTTTTTGTAAATAAAGTTTTATTGAAACACAGTTATGCCCATTTGCTACATATTGTCTATGGCTGCTGGATTAGGCTGTTCTCTCATGCTATAAAGAAATACCTGAGATTGGGTAATGTATAAAGAAAAGAGGTTTAATTGGCTCACAGTTTTGTAGACTGTACAGGGAAGCATAACACTGACATCAGCTGAGCTTCTGTGGAGGCCTCAGGAAACTTACAATCATGGCAGAAGGTGAAGTGGGAGCAAGAGAGTGAGGAGGGAGGTGCTACACACTCGTAAACAACCAGATCTTGCAAGAACTCACTTACTATTGCAAGGACAGGACCAAAGGGATGATGGTAAATCATTCATGAGAAATCCACCCCCATGATCCAATCTCTTCCCACCAGGCCCCACCTCTAAAACTGGGTATTACATTGCAACATGAGATTTGGGCGGGGACACATATTCAACCTATATCAGCTGCTTTCATGCTATGGGTGGCAGAGTTGAGTAACTACTACAAGAGACTGTATGGCCCAAGAATTGTAAAATATTTACTATCTGATGCTTTCAAGAAAGTTTGCAAAGCCTGCTCTTGAAAAGGAATGGAAGGAAGAGGAGAGGAGGAAGGCAGGAAGGAGCAGAGAGGGACACGGGGCTGTATTCAAACATCTGTTGTTAAGAAAGAGAAATTCAATTTATTTGGCATGGCCCAAGTTATCAAACTAGGAGCACTCCATTGAAGTTTCAGAACAAACACTGTGCTGAATATAAGGATGACCCCATCTGTAATGCCTAACCTTGTTTTTACTAACTTTGTTGGTAGACTTTCCTTTTCTTTTAATCACTTAGCCTTGTTTCTACCTGAATTGACTTTCTTTTAGCTAAGAGAGCTAGATAGACTTTGTCTTGGCTTTTTCACTGGCAGCCCCTTCCTCAAGGACTTAACTTGTGCAAGCTGACTCTTAGCACCTCTAAGAATGCAATTAAGTGATAAGATACTGTGGGACGAGCAATATCCGCAGTTACTAGGAATTTGTCTGATTGATAACACCCAAAGCCCCGCGTCTATCACTTTGTAATAGTCTTAAAGCCCTTAGACCTAGAATTGTTTACTTTCCTGTAACAATTTATCCTTTTAACTTCTTTGCCTACTTCTGTAAAATTGTTTTAACTAGACCCCTTTCCCCTTTCTAAACTAAAGTATAAATGAAAATCTAGCCCCTTCTTCAGGGCCGAGAGAACTTTAAGCATTAGCTGTATCTTGGCCACCGGCTAAATAGACTCATAATTCGTCTCAAAGTGTGGCATTTTCTCTAACTCGCTCAAGTACAACATTTGGAGGCCCCAGTGAGAAACGCCACCAGGCGAGAGCCAGGCTTGCTCCGGCCCCCCCCGGAAGAACGGCCGGATTGTAGTGGGGGCGCCACTTGAAAAAAAATTTTCAGGTCCCTGAAAGGTGACCGTCTTCCAGAGGAAAGCGGATCGACTACCGTGTGGGTGCCCACAAAAATTCCACCTCTGAGTCCTCAACTTCTGACCCTGAGGTCAGGTAGGTCAGATTTGACTTCAGTTCTAGTAAGAGGGAAGCGGCCCTTATGAGGGCATCCCTCTTTTGACTCTGCCCATTTCTCTAGGACGCTAGAAGGCAGAGCCCTGGTTTTCTGTTAGGCACCTCTGTGTCTCTGTCTAGGAGGGAAGTGGCCCTGATAGGGGCCCTCCCTTGACTCAGTCCACATCCCAGGATGCTGGAGGACTGAGTCCTGGTTTCTGGCAGACCGGTCACTCTCTCTCTCGCTCTCTTTTTCTATCTCTCATCTTTCTCTTGTTCCAGTTTCTTGAAGAATCTCCAAGAAAGAAAAAAAAACTGTTTTAAACTCTGTGTGAATAATGAATGAATGAGGGAGGACAAGGGCTTGCGCTTGTCCTCCAGTTTGTAGCTCCACGGCGAAAGCTACGGAGTTCAAGTGGGCCCTCACCTGCGATTCCGTGGCGACCTCTTAAGGCTTAAGGACAGCATCAGGCATAGCTCGATCTGAGCCGGAAGTTTATACCGGGCTGCCAATGCTAAGAGGAGCCCAAGTCCCCTCAGGGGGAGCGGCCAGGCAGGCATCTGACTGATCCCATCACAGGACCCCCTCCCCTTGTCTGTCTAAAAAAAAAAAAAAAAGGAAGAAACTTTCATAACTGTTTACATGCCCTAAAGTCAATTGTTTATGTTGATTGTTCTGTTCAGTGTCTACTGTCTTGTTAGTAGTTGTCAAAGTTTTGCATGTCAAGACGTTGATATTGCCCAAGACATCTAAGTAAAAACTTCTTCAAAGTCCTTAGTGCTGATTTTTTTGTCACAGGAGGTTAAATTTCTCATCAATCGTTTAGGCTGGCCACCACAGTCCTGTCTTTTCTGCCAGAAGCAAGTCAAGTGTTGTTACAAGAACAAGAGTGAAAAACATTTGCCTGATTAAGATTTCTAGCACCATGAAAGTTGTAAGTATTTAGATTGTCACACCCTACATCCAAGTGATTAGACCTCCTCTAATCTAAACCAGTAGTAAGTTCAAAACAGCCACCCTGCAGATTTCCTTGCTCACCTCTTTTGTCATTCTGTAACTTTTCCTGTGCCCTGAAATAGAACGCACACCCGTACTACTTTACTTCATCGAGATTCTTACTCTGTTCCTCTGTGGCTACTCTCCCATCTTAAAAATGATCTGAGTAGTCCTTTACGCGTCGTTCCTGCCCCCTACCCTGCACATCTCATTTTCCGGTGTGACAGCAAGTTCAGCATCTCCATGACTTTGCTCTGCTCTCACTCCTTAAACCCTTAAAAGAAAAAGCTAAGCCTAAGCTATTTGCCTTTAAGTCATAAAGACACCAGAAGTATTTAAAGTACAGATCTAGAAGAAGAAGAACGCCTAGATCAAACTGACCCAGAAGATCTCAGGCTGGCTCTAGTCCTCCTCCCTCAATCTTAAAGCTACAGTAATGTAGCAAGTAGTATGAGCTGTTGTAGTTTTTCTGCTCTTTCTAGTCATGTTGATTCTGTTCTTTCAATACTCCAGTCCCCCAAGAAATAAGTTTCTCTGTCCATGTTAGGTTTAATATTTATGCTCAAATCTTATTAAATTGCCTTCAAAAAAAAAAAAAGAAACACTTCCTCCCAGACTTGTAAAAGTTAAAGCCCTCTCCAATGTGTGCTGCAGAATTTTCCTCTCAGTTTCTCAGAGGATTATAAAGTCCGCCTTGAAACAGGCAAGCTCCAGACACTCTGCAAAATAAAATGGCCAAAGTTTAAAGTCCAGTGGCCCCCTGAAGGGTCATTGAACCTCACAATTGTTCAAGCTGTGTGGCCGGTTGTTACTAAAACTCCTAGCCACCCTGATCAGTTTCCCTACATTGATCAATAGCTAAGTTTAGTCAGGAGCCCCCTCCATGGCTCCGCTCATGCGCCATTCATAATTCTACCTCCAAGGTCCTCCTAAGCCATACCGCCTTTTCATCTCGACCCTCAGCCGGTTTGGCTTCTCCTGTACTGCCTCCCTCTGAAGAAGGGGGGAGTCTCCCTCACCCAGTCCCACCGCCTTACAACCAGCCTGCTCCCTTAAAGTTATCCCATGTCTCCTCGACGACGTCCCCTGTAGACTCGCCACCCATTGCCTCTCAATCGCGACCGTGACAGGAAGAAGTAGCCCCTCTACTACCACTGAGAGAGGCACAAGTCCCTCCAGGTGACGAGCGCTCAGCCCCCTTCTTAGTTTATGTCCCTTTTTCTACTTCTGACTTATATAATTAGAAAACCCATAATCCTCCCTTCTCTGAAAAGCCCCAGGCTTTGACCTCTCTGATAGAGTCCGTACTCCGGACTCACCCGCCCACCTAAGATGATTGCCAACAGCTCCTTTTAACCCTTTTCACCTCTGAAAAGAAAGAACGTATCCAAAAAGAAGCCAAAAAGTACTTCCTCACATCAGCCAATGGACCGGAAGGAGAAGCTAGAGACCTCCTTGAGGAGGTCTTTCCCTCTACCCGGCCTAACTGGGACCCAAATTCCTCAAGTAGAAAGAGAGCTTTAGACGATTTTCACCGGTATCTCCTCGCAAGTATTAAAAGAGCCACTCAGAAACCCATAAACTTGTCTAAGACCACCGAAGTTGTCCAAAGGCCCGATAAGTCACCAAGAACGTTTTAGAGCGCCTCCAGGAGGCTTATCGGATTTACACCCCTTTTGACCCGGCAGCTCCCAAAAATAGCCGTGCTCTTAATTTAGCATTTGTGGCTCAGGCAGCCCCGGATATTAAAAAAGAAACTCCAAAAACTAGAAAGATTTGCTAGAATAAATATCAGTCAGCTTTTAGAAATAGCCCAAAAAGCTTTTGACCATCAAAAGGTTAAAAAACAAAAACAAGCAACACAGGCAGCTGAAAAGGCCGCTGATAAAGCATTCAAAAGACAAACAAAAATCTTAGTGGCGGCTATCCAAGAAGTACAGAATGAAATATCCCGTTAATTTAGCATTAACTGAAGCCCCTGCTTTAGCCCTCCCTAATATCTCCATAAAAACCAAGGAGTTGCTAAAGAGGTGCTTACTCAGGCTTTAAGACCCTAAAGACGCCCAGTGGCCTATTTATCTAAGAGGCTAGATCCTGTGGCCTCTAGATGGCCAAGTTGTCTGCGAGCCGTAGAGGCTACAGCAAGCCTAGTCCAAGAAGATGATAAGTTAACTCTAAGCCAAAATTTAACCCTTACAGCTCCTCATGCTGTAAAGACCTTACTACGAAGTGCTTCTGGCAAATAGATGTCAAATGCTCGCATCTTGCAGTGTCAGTTAGATCAGCCTCGTTTGACTTTCTCTCCCACAAAGTGTTTCAATCCAGCCACACTACTTCCTGACCCAGACTGCACTATTCCTGCTCATGACTGTCAAGAACTGTTAGAAACTATCCAAACTGGCCCATCTGATCTTCAAGATGTGCCCCTAGAAAAGGCAGATGCCGCCGTGTTCACAGACAGTAGCAGCTTCCTCAAGCAGGAAGTATGAAAAGCCAGTGCAGCTGTTACCATGGAGACAGATGTGTTGTAAGCTCACGCTTTACCAGCGAACACCTCAGCACAAAAGGCTGAATTGATCACCCTCACTCAGGCTCTCCGATAAAGTAGAATAAACGTATTAACATTTACAGTGACAGCAAGTATGCCTTTGCTACTGTGCATGTACGTAAAGCCATCTACCAGGAAGGCAGGCTACTCACCTCAGCAGGTAGCTGTGATCCACTGCAAAGGACATCAAAAAGAAAATACGGCCGTTGCCCATAGTAACCAGAAAGCTGATTCAGCAGCTCAGGTCGCAGCGCAACTTCAGTCATGCCTCTAAACTTGCTGCCCATAGTCTCCTTTCCACAGCCAGATCTGCCTGACAATCCCGTATACTCAACAACAACAAAAAAAAACTGGCTTCAGATCTCAGAGCCAATAAAAATCAGGAAAGTTAGTAGATTCTTCCTGACTCTAGAATCTTCATATCCTGAACTCTTAAAGAAACTTTAATCAGTCACCTACAGTCTACCACCCACTTAAAAAGAGCAAAGCTACCTCAGCTCCTCAGGAGCCATTTTAAGATCCCCCATCTTCAAAGCCTAACAGATTAAGCAGCTCTCCAGTGCACAACCTGCGCCCAAGTAAATGCCAAACAAAGTCCTAAACCCAGCCTAGGCCACTGTCTCTGAAAAAACTCGCCAAGAAAAAAGTAAGAAATTGACTTTACAGAAGTAAAACCACACCGGGCTAAGTACAAATACCTTCTAGTACTAGTAGACACCTTCTCCAGATAGACTAAGGCATTTGCTACTGAAAACGAAACTACCAACACAGTAGTTAAGTTTTTACGCAATGAAATCAACCCCCAATATACGCTGCCTGCTGCTATAAAGTCTGATAATAGAGCAGCCTTTACCTCGCCTATAGCTCAGTCAGTCAGTAAGGCGTTAAACATTCAATAGAAGCTCCATTGTGCCTATCAACCCCAGAGCTCCAGGCAAGTAGAACGCATGAACCACACCCTAAAAAACACTCTTACAAAATTAATCTTAAAAACCAGTGTAAATTAAGTAAGTCTCCTTCCTTTAGCCCTACTTAAAGTAAGGTGCACCCCTTACTAGGCTAAGTTCTCACCCTTTGAAATCATGTATAAGAAGGCGCTGCCTATCTTGCCTAAGCTAAGAGATACCAAATTAGCAGAATTATCACAAACTAATTTATTACAGTACCTGTAGTCTCTCCAACAGGTACAAGAGATCATCCTGCCACTTGCTCGAGGAGCCCATCCCAATCCAATTCCTGACCAGACAAATTCCTGCCATTCATTCCAGCCAGGAGACCTAGTGTTTGTTAAAAAGTTCCAAGAAGAAAGACTCACTCCTGCTTAGAAAAGACCTCACACCGTCATCCTCACGACTCCAACTGCTCTGAAAGTAGACAGCCTTCCTGCTTAGATTCATCACTCCCGCATCAAAAAGGCCAACAGAGCCCAGCTAAAAACATAAGTCCCCAGGCCTAAGTCAGGCCCCTTAAAACTGCACCTAAGTCAGGTGAAGCCATTAGATTCATTCTTTTTATCTACCTCACTTATTTGTTTTTGCCAGTTACATCCTCCGTGCCTTCCTACTCCTTTCTCCTCACCTCTTTCACAACAGGACGTGTATTTGCAAACACCACTTGGAAGGCCAGTACCTCCAAGGAAGTCTCCTTTGCAGTTGATTTATTTGTACTGTTCCCAAAGCCAGCCCATACCCATGAAAAGCAACACAATCTGTCAGTCCCAGGAGCAGGAAGTGTCGACCTTGCAGCAAGATTCAGACACTCCAAGAGCCAAACTAAATGTAGGAGCTCCAAAAGTGCAGAAAAAAGACTCCAAAATATTGACTTTTACCTCTGTCCTAGAAATCACCCTGACACTAGCTGTCAAGATGCTTATCAGTTTTTCTGCCCTGATTAGACATGTGTAACTTTAGCCACCTACTCTAAAAGATCAACCAGATCTTCAACTGTTTCCATAAGTCGTGCTTCTCATCCTAAATTATGTACTAGAAAAAATTGTAATCCTCTTACTGTAACTGTCCATGACCTTAATTCATCTCAATAGTATCATGGCATGGCATGTCATGAAGATTAAGATTTTATATCCCAGGATTTAATGTTAAGTCTATGTTCACCATCCAAAAAAACCCTAGTCTCATAAAGCCCACCCAAGCCAATCAGATCTTTAACTGATCTAAGTAACCCTATGTTCCAGAAACACCCTGACAAAGTTGATTTGACTGTTCCTCCACCTTTCTTAGTCATAAAAGATACACGCCAAAAAGTGCAAGAAAATCTAGACAAGCGCCAACAAGAACAAGAAAATAACATCCCCTAGTATCAAAGCATGTTCAACTAGAACCCATAGCTAACCACTCTAATTACTAAGTTAGCCAGACCCCCTCCCCGTCCTACTAATAAGTCTAATATTTGGGCCTTGTATATTAAATTAGTTTCTTAATTTTGTAAAACAACGCATAGCTTCTGTCAAACTTATGTATCTTAAGACTCAATATAACCCCCTTTTTATAACTGAAGAATCAACGATTTGATTCCCCAAAAACACAAATGAGGAATGTAATGCCCAACCTTGTTTTTACTAACTCTGTTTTTAGACTCTCCCTTTCTTTTAATGACCTAGCCTTGTTTCCACCTGAATTGACTCTCCCTTAGCTAAGAGAGCCAGACAGACTCCATCTTGGCTCTTTCACTGGCAGCCCCTTCCTCAAGGACTTAACTTGTGCAAGCTGACTCCCAGCACATCGAAGAATGCAATTAACTGATAAGATACTGTGGTGAGCAATATCCACAGTTCCCAGGAATTCATCTGGTTGATAACGCCCAAAGCCCCGAGTCTATCACCTTATAATAGTCTTAAAGGCCCTAGACCTAGAACTGTTTACTTTCCTGTAACAATTTATCCTTTTAACTTTTTTGCCTACTTTACTTATGTAAAATTGTTTTAACTAGACCCCCCTCCCCTTTCTAAACCAAAGTATAAAAGAAAATCTTAGCCCCTTCTTCGAAGCCGAGAGAACTTTAAACGTTAGCCGTTTCTTAGCCGCCGGCTAAATAAACAGACTCTTAATTCATCTCAAAGTGTAGCGTGTTCTCTAGCTCGCTCAAGAACAACACATCTAGCAGGCACGTAATCCACTCTAAAATGCTGTCCTGGGGTAGTAAAGATGATGTTGCTGGAAATACCCTTAAATGGCATGTGGATGAGTTCCCCCAGAGGCATACATGTTGAGCTACTTTGCTGATGAAGGGTACAAGTTGAAGGGGTTTTGTAAGGCAGAGTGAGGTTCCTCAGAAGGCTGTTGCTACAGAAAGCCAGGAGGAGAAATTACATGGCCAGATAGAGTGGCATGACCATTGGATAAGGGTTTTTTGTTTGTTTGTTTGTTTTTGAGATGGAGTTTTGCTCTTGTTGCCCAGGCTGGAGTGCAATGGCACGATCTCAGCTCACCGCAACCTACACCTCCCAGGTTCAAGGGATTCTCCTACCTCAGCCTCCCTAGTAGCTGGGATTACAGGCATGTGCCACCACATCTGGCTAATTTTGTATTTTCAGTAGAGACGGGGTTTCTCCATGTTGATCAGGCTGGTCTTGAACTCCCAACCTCAGGTGATCCGCCTGCCTTGGCCTCCCAAAGTGCTGGGATTACAGGCATGAGCCACCGCACCCAGCCTGGATGAGGGTCTTCAGCAAAGATGGAAGTTTTGGTACCTTGCAGTTTAATCTCTTCATTTATGTCCTCCTGAAATCTTCAGTAATAGCACACTTTGTCAATGCTTCTGGGGTCGTACTTAGGGGGACTTAAAGGAGATGTGATGTGGCAGCCTTTGACTCAAGGGAGTATCATACTAGCTCAAAGAGATCTGGGTACATGCCAGTTGAACCAACTCTTCTGAGGATGTGATAGATCCTGGGAGGCCACTGTGATCCCGCCAACCTTGAGGCCAGATGAGTCTTTGAAAAACATGGTTTGGCTTAACACCAGCACTTAGTCTAACACCCACCATGAATCTTGCTGAAGTGAAGCTATACAAATACCTTTTCAAAAGATTTTTTTTCATTTCAGATCCTTCGTAGAAATTCCTAAGGCTCAATGCTGTGTGGAAGTTTCTAAGAAAGAAAATAGTTTCCCATCTTTGGGATTCCCCTGAGATGGTCCAATCTGCAAAAAGTTCATTGCCATTTCCATCAAGGACACTGAGAACAACAGTCTTATCCGGATTGGATCCTGGGAATTGAGAAGCTTCAACAAGTGGGAAATGCACCCTCCACAGGTTCACACCCTTGTGGGCTATTTCAGTTACCTATTGCACCCTAAAATTAGAAACTTTAAACCACCACAAGTCATTATTGCTCATGACCCTGTGAGTTGCATGGGGACTTCCTGTCTAGTTTAATCTGGGCTCATTTGTGTGGCTACCTGCAGCTGGAGGGCCAGGTGGGCGGAACATCCAGGACAGCCTCACGTGTGTGCCTGGCAGTTGGTGCTGCCTGTCAGCCGGGGAACCTTGTTTTCCTCCATGTGGCCCCTAGCCCTCCAGAGCCCCTCTCCAAATGGCCCTTTAAGCAGGATAGCCAAGGCTTGATTGGTGCCAGCATCCAAGAGGGCAAAAATATGGAAACTACGAGAGGGTTCTCAAGGCCTAAGACTATATGCACCCCAAAAATCTGAGGTCTCAGTTAATTCAGAAAGTTTATTTTGCCAAGGTTGAGGATGCACGCCTGTGATACAGCCTCAGGAGGTCCTGACAACATGTGCCTAAGGTGGTAGGGACACAGCTTGGTTTCATACATTTTAGAGAGACATGAGACATGAATCAATATGTGCAAGATATACATTGGTCCAGTCTGGAAAGGCGGGACAACTCCAGGTGAAGGTGAAGGTGAGACAACTCGAAGCGGAGAGGGGGCTTCCAGGTCATAGGTAGTTAAGAGACAAATGGTTGCATTCTTTTGAGTTCCTGATTAGCCTCTCCAAATGAGGCAATCAGATATACATTTATCTCAGTGAGCAAAGGGGTGACTGAATAGAATGGGAGGCAGGTTTGCCCTAAGCAGTTCCCAGCTTGACTTTTCTCTTTAGCTAGTAACTTTTTTTTTTTTTTTTTTGGGACAGTGTCTCACTCTGTTGCCCAGGCTGGAGTGCAGTGGTGCGATCTCAGCTCACTGCAACCTCCAACTCCAGGGTTCAAGCAATTTTCCCTGCCTCAGCCTCCCGAGTAGCTGGGATTACAGGCGCCTGCCACCACACCTGGCTTATTTTCATATTTTTTAGTAGAGATGGGGGTTTCATCATGTTGGCCAGGCTGGTCTTGAACTCCTGACCTCAGGTGATCTGCCCGCCTCAGCTTCCCAAAGTGCTGGGATTACAGGCGTGAGCCACTGAGCCCGGCCTAGCTTACTGATCTTGGGGGCCCAAGGTTTATTTTCCTTTCACGGCTAGAAATTGGTCACCATCACTTTGGCAGCATTCCACTGGCCAAAGCAAGTCATAAACAGCCCAGATTCATGTAGAGGAATATAAACTCTACCTCTTAAAGGAAAGATTGGTTCAATTACACTGCACAAGCGTTTGCAGAAAGTTGTACCCATCTTCGGAAACTACCACACACACACACACACACACACACACACACACACCTTTACATGTAACCCTCCCTTGAGGTGCATCTACTTCCAGGCAGAACCTAAACTTGACAGTACTCCACAGAAGGAAAGTAGTGTACTAAATGCCAGTTCTATTCTTACTCAACTTCAGCCTCATTATAAGCAGATTCTAACACAGTTTCTGTGTCTTGAGAAACATTGTAATTAATCTTTGGAATTTAAGAATTTGAATTCATAGCAGTAGCCTGTGCATAGGAAATATGCATATGGTAAGTTTTTCCTTTCTAATAAATCATGCTGAAGGAACAACAAGGTAACATTTTTTTTTTTTTTTTCTGAGAGGGAGTCCCACTCTGTTGCCCAGGCTGGAGTGCAGTGACGTGACCTCAGCTCACTGCAACCTCCACCTCCCGGGTTCAAGCGATTCTCCTTCCTCAGCCTCCTGAGTAGCTGGGATTATAGGTGCACAAGGCAGGGTTTCACCATGTTCGTCAGGTTTGTCTCGAACTCCTGACCTCTGATTTGCCCACCTCGGCCTCCCAAAGTGCTGGGATTATAGGCGTGAGCCACCGGCTCACGTACACTGTAACTGTATATTGAAAGTTTCTTTTTTTAACAATTAACAGGTTTAACAGAATATATCCCCTAATCTATTCCTTTCACTGCAGACATCTATTGCCTTTTCAGCCTAGCAGCCCTCCCCTCTATGGAGACTCACACTTCCTACTCCAGTCACGGGGCTCTCATGGGGGCTGCCATGTTCTCATATGACTCCACCCCTCTGGCCTCAGTTGATTGGTCCAGGGATGAACATCTGGCCTAAATTGGCCAATCAGAATTCTTCCCTTGAATATTTTTCCAAACTGGAACCAGAACAAGTTAATCATTCTCTGTGATGACAGGAACTGTGTGTAGTGAGAAATACAGGAGCTTTTGTGGCCACATATCTCACCTTATGGAGAAAAGGCTTGAGTAAGAAGAAATTAAGCCAGTATGCAGACAAAGCTAGAGACAGAGATAGAGAGACAGCTCTGAGGTGTCTCCACCCAGAGATTGAAAGAGAGATCTTGTGGTAGGCCCCTTGGTATTTATCAATCTAGTCCATGCTTGCTACTGCATACAACCAAGACTTTCACTTGAGAGTTTTTTCAAAGTCAGGCAGGGAATATGTCAGAAAAGCCACAGAAGCTGGGTGCAGTGACTCATGCCCGTAATCCCAACACTGGGAGGCCAAGGCGGGTGGATCATGAGGTCAGGAGTTCGAGACCAGCCTGACCAACGTGGCAAAACCCCGTCTCTACAAAAAATAAAAAAATTAGCAGGGCATGGTGGCAGGCGCCTGTAATCCCAGCTACTCAGGAAGCTGAGGCAAGAGAATCGTTTGAACCTGGGAAGCAGATGTTGCAGTAAGCCGAGATCATGCCATTGCAGTCCAGCCTGGGTGACAGAGCACGACTATGTCCCCCACCAAAAAAAGAGAAAAGAAAAGCCAGAGAGTTGATGCCCTGGGACCAGTCCTCAGCCAGTGACGGATGGGAGCCAGGCTATAAATGCTTCAATATTTCCCCCCCTGGATGGAACAACTTTGAAATGTATTCCACATCACTTCCCAGAGGTCCCCAGTGGGGTCAAATCCTAGTTGCCTGGAGTGGTAAGCTGCTCACTGAAGCCTCCTGTGTGGCCTCCTGCCTTGTCATGAATCAGTTCCTCACTCCCCTATTGGTGTTCCCTGGAATCATCTCCTAAATAATCCACTTGCAATCCTGTCCCTCTTTCAGGATCTGCTTGGGGTTGGGGTTGGGGAGTGCAGACCAAAACATGATCCCTTTTCCACTCCACACTAGTAAGATGAGTTTCTGTCACTGGCAACCAAGAGTCTGACTATTACCTCCTTCTGAGATAATTTCTAAAATGTATTTGGGAATTTCCCCACCTCCATCCCACTGCGTATGTCATCAATCTGTAGATTTCTTAACAAAGTTTAATGGTATTCTTTGATCAGCCTCAAGTTTCACAAAGCACACTGCACTTTCATAAGGGATCCCCATGACTGACAGATCAGCCATTCAAAAGAAGGGAAGTGTCAGAGATGGCTCTGCTAGACTCATGTATTTTTCAGTAGAACCTGGGTCAGGATGGTATGGTTGGGAGATGCTTCTGGAGCTCTGGGAACCACAAGCCTGCATGTCCCATGGTGGAGTATTAGCACAACTTGAAAACATAGTGGCAGGAGAAGGCTTCCTCCCCTCCCCTGCAGTTCATCCTCCACCATACCCAACGTGCTCAATAGATATTGGTTAAATGAATAATGGGTCCGGGCGTGGTGGCTCACACCTGTAATCCCAGCACTTTGGGAGGCTGAGGCAGGTGGATCACCTGAGGTCAGGAGTTCAAGACCAGCCTGGCCAACATGGCGAAATCCCGTCTCTATTAAAAATATAAAAATTAGCCAGGTGTGGTGGTGGGCGCCTGTAATCCCAGCTACTTGGGAGGCTGAGGCAGGAGAAGCACTTGAACCTGGGAGGCAGAGTTTACAGTACGCTGACATGGCACCACTGCACTCCAGCCTGGGCGACAGAGCGAGACTCAAAAAAAAAAGAAAGAAAAAAGAACAATGGATTTATTCCTTCCAAACTGCAACTCACCAGAAGAAGACCAAGACGCATCACAATGTTGTGGCCATAATCACCACAGTGACGATAATGAATATAATCAACTCTCGAGCCAGCCGCCTCCACTAAATCTAGCAGATCACATCTGGTGTTTCACTTTGGGGATGTTTTAATGGTCATGGTAGATGGTTGCCTGACTGCTGGCTGTTTCTACTGTGTTTCAGGAATATAGAGATGATGTACAAATCACCCCTAAAATTAATTAGTATGCAATTCTCAAAGAGCCAAACTCTACCCCAAAAGCTACTGGAATGAAAAAAAAAAAAAGAGTTTTAATTCTCAAAGAGACAAACTAGATAGTAAAAGCATTTATGTTCCCTTGGAGAATCTTCCCAACCATGGACTCAAAGTGGTCTCCAGACCAGGGAATGCCTTGGGCCTTGGACATTCCCAATTCTGGTATCACCTTCCATTCTCCTTTAGGTCCAGTTTTCTCAGAGGAGCATGCATTGTTCATTGCCACCAAGGGTATCCAAGGGCACAAACTGAAGATAATAGTGCTTTATTGTCTCTCAGTCATCTGTCTCTCCCACATGCTGGAAGGAGAGCCAAGTCCAATTTATCCAATTACAAAGTAGCAACATTGGCATCATGAGATCAGCTAACAAAACTTTCAGAGGCAATCTATCTTCCTACCAAAAGTAACTAACATCTGTGGAGCACTTACCATGGCTAAGGGTCAACGTAAGTGGTTTGCATGCTGCATGTGTCAGGATGGACTAGGTTATGCTACAGTAACAAATTAACCCCAGAGTCTCAGCAGCTTAGCAACCAAGGTTGATTTCTTACATTCCATGTCCACAATGGGTTGGCTGGGTATGGTGTGCTCCATATGGCCACTCAAAGACCTAGAATAATGGAAATTCTACCATCTTAATGCAGGGATTCTCCCATAGTTACTGCACCAGGAGATGAGAGGATGAGATAGTTATTCCCAAGCCCTCAAAAGCCGTAGACTAGAGGTGATGTCAGTGACTTCCACTTATAGAGCATTGGACCCTGGCATGGATCCATCTAACTACTGGGGGTCTGGGGAATATGGGGAGCACATGGAAATCCCATGAGCAGTAACCATTCCTGCCAGCATGCATTATTTCATCTGAACCTCACAACCCCATGGAATATAGAACAGAGTCTTGGAGAGTTATGGGACCTGCCCCAAGGCATCAGAGATAATGAGATGCAGAGCTGAGATATGACCCTTAGCCTGGCAGGATTCAAACCACTATGCTGCATACTCATTACAAAATTCTATGAAATTCCTCATACAGCAAAACACCACACCAAGTGAAAAGAAAGCCAAGTTGTGCAAATACACAATAGAACTCCCCTGACACTTCACCTCCTCACCCACCCCACCCCCCACTGAAAGAATCAACCCACACAAATAACTGGAACGAAATTCTCAGGCAATTTCAGCAGGGGAAATGGGGTTATCTCATCTGGGTCTCACATCCGACCTCGTCAAAACAAGACCATCCCTAAACTTCGCCTGAACACCTGGACACACCGTCATGTCTTGCCGCTTCTTGTTACTGGAAATCCAAGGATGACATCTTTATACAACTTACAGGTCTTTCTATAAGTGCCAAGATAAATGTCATCCCTGTACCTGCATATCATTCAGAGGTAGGCAAGCTTCTATGTAAAGTGCTAGATAGTAACTATTATCAGCTTTGCAGGACACATCTGATCTCCATCCTATATACTTTTTTTTGTTTTACAACTTTTTTTTCTTTTTAGATAGTGTCTAAAAAGAAAATAAAACTTATCCATGCTGTGATATGGATGAACGTTAAAAACATGCTCAGTGAAAGAAGCAGACATGAAAAGTCATATATTGTACAATTCCATTTATATGCAATGTTCAGACTAAGCCAATCGACAGAGATAGAAAGTAGATGAGAGGTTTCCAGGGGCTGCAGGAGGGGGTATGCAGAGTGACTGCTGAATGGATATGAGGCTTCCAATTGAGGTGTTGAAAAAGCCCTGAAACTAGGTAGTGGTGATAATTGCACATGATTAATGTACAAAATGTCACTGAATTGTACACTTTCCGATGCACAAAATGGTAAATGTTGCATATATTATACCACAATTTTATTCATTTATTTTAGAGATAGAGTCTCACTCCATCACCCAGGCTGTAGTGCAATGGCACAAACATAGCTCACTGCTGCCTTTACCGCCTGGGCTCAAGCAATCCTCCCACCTAGTCTTCCAAGTAGCTGGGACTACAGGTGAACGCTGCCACACCCAGGGTTTTTAATTTTTTTATAGAGTTGCATTCTCACTATATTACCCAGACTGGCCCAAACTCCTTGCTTCAAGCGATTCTCTCATCTTAGCCTCCCAAAGTGCTGGGATAACAGATGTAAGCCATCACACCAGGCAATTTTTAATTCTTATGTGAAATTTTCAACTAATAAATTCCTAGGATTAAGAAAATGTTGATCAACATGGGGATTAGAGGAAAAAATAATTTTAAACAAGAGAAAAAATTAAATGAGGTGATGTATATGTGTACAGTGCCTGGCTCATGATCACTGAGTCCACTGCAGCTTTTTTTTTTTTTTTTTTTTTGAGACAGGGTCTCACTCTGTCACCCAGGCTGAGTACAGTGGCATAATCACAGCTTACTGCAGCCTCAACCTCCTGGGCACAAGTGATCCTCCCACTTCAGCCTCTCAAGTAGCTGGGACTACAGGTGCACGCAACCACACCCAGCTATTTTTGTTGTTGTTGTTGTATTTTTGGTAGTGACAGGGTCTCGCCATGTTGCCCAGGCTGACATCTTGAACTCCTGGGCTCAAGCGATCCTCCCACCTCAGCTTCCCAAAGTGCTGGGATTACAGGTGTGAGCCACCATGCCCATCCTGTTGTAGCTATTTTAATAGTGCTGGTGAACAGTAATTTGCTCTCCCTATAAAAACAGGACATACTAAGCCAAGGAAAGCACCAATCTAGTTTGTTCTCCCCAGATCTTCAAAATGTTGGAATTAGTATAAGGGCCCAAAATATTTCACATGGTTTGATTTTTTTTGTTTTTGGAGACGGAGTCTCATTCCATCGTCCAGGTTGGAGTGCAGTGGCACAATCCCGGCTCACTGCAACCTCTACCTCCCGGGTTCAAGCCATTCTCCTGCCTCAGCCTCCCAAGTAGCTGGAATTACAGACATGTACCGCCACGCCCTGCTAATATTTGCATTTTTAGTAGAAATGGGGTTTCTCCATGTTGGCCAGGCTGGGCTCGAACTCCTGACCTCAAATGATCTACCCGCCTCGGCCTCCCAAAGTGCTGGGATTACAGGTGTAAGCCACCACGCCAGGCCAGTTTAATTTTTTTATTGTGGTAAAATACATACAAAATCTATTATTTTAGCCATTTTCAAAGGAAAAATTCAGTGGTGTTAAGTGCATCCACCACATTGTACAGCCATGTCCCCCATCCATCTCCAGAACGCTTTCATCCTGTCCTGCAAATATGCGGCACCTTGCTACACTCCGGGTTGTTTGTCCCACAACAGAGCTGGGCTGAATTATTAATGTGGACGTTGTTCAACAACGGATTAAAGAGGGAGAAGCCCACGATCTCTGTGAGGAGTGCATGACAGGTGCTCATGGGATGACAGGGTTCGGGGCCCTCCAGCTGCTGCCGCCTGTCCTACTGAGTAGCCACCCCGTCCCAGGGAGGAAGAGCACTCACAGCTGCTGCTGATCTCCTTCCAGGGCTTCCGCTGGGACTAGGATCAGGATGTGGACACCCCCAATCTGGACCGTCTAGCCGGGGAGGGCGTCAAGGCCAGGTACCTCATGCCACCCTTTGTCACGATGACCTCCCGGTCCCGCTTCACCGCCATCCCGGGTAAGCGCCACTCTGCCCATTTCACCCGGTGCCCATCAAAGCCCCAGCGTCCGTCATTCCTGGAATAAGAAGCAGAGCTCGGTCAGCTCTAGGGAGGCTGAGGCGGCTCCAGGGTCTCACTCTGTTTCCCAGGCTGTAGCTCAATGGCATAGTCACAGCTCAGTGGAGCCTCAATCTCCTGGTGTCAAGCAGTCCTGCCTACCTCAGGCTCCCCAGTAGCTGGGGATACAGACCAACCACCGTGCCTAATTTTCTCATTTTTTTAGAGATTGGGGCAGGGGATGTCTCACTATGTTGCCTAGGCTGGTTTTGAACTCCTGGCCTCAAGTGATCATCCCGCCTCAGCCTCCCAAAGTGCTGAGATTAGAGACATGAGCTACCGTGCCTGGCCTGATCTTTTTTAAAAAAGTAAATAAGGTCGGGCATGGTGGCTCACCCCTGTAATCCCAGCACTTTGGGAGGCTGAGGTGGGTGGATCACCTGAGTTCAGGAGTTCAAGACCAGCCTGGCCAACATGGTGAAACGTCGTCTCTCCTAAAAATACAAAAATAAGCTGAGCTTGGTGGCAGACGCCTATAACCCCAGCTACTCGGGAGTCTGATACAGGAGAATCACTTGAACCCAGGAGGTGGAAGTTGAAGTGAGCTGAGATCATGCCATTGTACTCCAGTTTGGGCAACAGCACAAGATTTTGTCTCAAAAAAAGAAAAAATAAAAGTAATAAAAATAAAAAGGTAAATAATTAAAATCACTTTTAAAGAATTGTATAAAAATAATAAAATATTAACATTTACAGAGCTCAGTTAGATGACGTGACTCATACCCTCCAATGGTGTCCTGGTTTTCTTAAATGAGAATTCAAATGTCTTTCTGTGGCCCAAAAGATCCCACACAGCCTGGCCCCTGGCCCATCTTCTGCCAGCCTCTCTCATCTCTCTCCCTCTCCTTCACTTCCCTCCAGATCACAAAGGCCTTTTGCCTGTGCCTTCTGCCCTGCTCCCTCCAGCCCCAGGGACTTGGCCTGTGCTAGTCCAGTCCCTCCAGCTCACTAGGAGCATGCAGTCCAGTCGGGGAGACAGACAACAGACACCCTAACAGGCACATACATCCCAGGACAACTCGGGAGGCACCAAGGAGGAAAACGAGTTTTCCAGGCACAGACTACAGGGGTAAACTGGCTTAAAACTAGAGAGGGAGAAAGGGGCTCTCTGAGCATGGGGCAGTTGAGCTGAAAGATATCTCAGGGGACCAGAGCAAGGAAAAGTGTTCCAGGCAGAGGGAACAGCATGTGTGAGGTCTTTGAGACAAAGACCTGGTCATTTCAGAATCCCAGTGGCCACTAAAATAGAGGGATTCTGACCTAAAAAGGATGGAGAGGAGGCTGCTGGAAGGCAAAGGACTCTGTGTAAGAATCATAATAGTGGGGGTGGAGCCAAGATGGCCGAATAGGAAGAGCTCCAGTCTACAGCTCCCAGCATGAGTGACACAGAAGACAGGAGATTTCTGCATTTCCAAATGAGGTACTTGGTTCATCTCAGTGGGGAGTGTCAGAAAGTGGGTGCAGGACAGTGGGTGCAGTGCACTGAGCATGAGCCCAAGCAAGGTGAGGCATTGCCTCACCCGGGAAGTGCAAGGGGTCAGAGAATTCCCTTCCCTAGTCAAAGAAAGGGGTGACAGATGGCACCTGGAAAATCGGGTCACTCTCACCCTAATACTGTGCTTTTCCAACAGTCTTAGCAAATGGCACACCAGGAGATTATATCCCGCACCTGGCTCAGAGGGTCCTACATTCACGGAGCCTCACTTATTGCTAGCACAGCAGTCTGAGATCAAACTGCAAGGAGGCAGCAAGGCTGGGAGAGGGGCGACCGCCATTGCCTGGGCTTCAGTAGGTAAACAAAGTGGCTGGGAAGCTCGAACTGGGTGGAGCCCACTGCAGCTTAAGGAGGCCTGCCTGCCTCTGTAGACTCCACCTCTGGGGGCAGGGCATTGCCAAACAAAAGGCGGCAGAATCCTCTGCAGACTTAAATGTCCCTGTCTGACAGCTTTGAAGAGAGTAGTGGTTCTCCCAGCATGCAGCTGGAGATCTGAGAATGGGAAGACTGCCTCCTCAAGTGGGTCCCTGACCCCCAAGTAGCCTAATTGGGAGGCACCCCCCAGTAGGGGCAGACTGACACCTCACATGGCTGGGTACTCTCTGAGACAAAACTTCCAGAGGAACAATCAGACGGCAACATTTGCAGCTCACCAATATCCACTGTTCTGCAGCCTCTGCTGCTGATACCCAGGCTAACAGGGTCTGGAGTGGACCTCCAGCAAACTCCAACAGACCTGCAGCTGAGGGTCCTGACTGTTAGAAGGAAAACTAACAAAGAGAAGGGATATCCACACAAAAAACCCCATCTGTACATCACCATCATCAAAGACCAAAGGTAGATAAAACCGCAAAGATGGGGAAAAAACAGAGCAGAAAAAATGGGAAACTCTAAAAATCAGAGAGCCTCTCCTCCTCCAAAGGAATGCAGCTCCTCACCAGCAATGGAACAAAGCTGGACAGAGAATGACTTTGATGAGTTGAGAGAAGAAGGCTTCAGACGATCAAACTACTCCGAACTAAAGGAGGAAGTTCAAACCCATGGCAAAGAAGTTAAAATCCTTGAAAAAAGGTTAGATGAATGGCTAACTATATGGATGAATGGCTAACTAGAATAACCAATGCAGAGAAGTCCTTAAAGGACCTGATGGAGCTGAAAACCGAGGCAAGAGAACTACATGACAAATGCACAAGCCTCAGTAACTGATTTGATCAACTGTAAGTAAGGATATCAGTGATGGAAGATGAAATGAATGAAATGAAGTGAGAAGTTTAGAGAAAAAAGAATATAAAGAAATGAACAAAGCCTCCAAGAAATATGGGACTATGTGAAAAGACAAAATCTACGTCTGATTGGTGTACCTGAAAGTGATGGGGGAGAATGGAACCAAGTTGGAAAACACTCTGCAGGATATTATGCAGGAGAACTTCCCCAATCTAGCAAGGCAGGCCAACATTCAAATTCGGGAAATACAGAGAATGCCACAAAGATACTCCTTGAGAAGAGCAACTCCAAGACACATAATTGTCAGATTCACCAAAGTTAAAATGAAGGAAAAAATGTTAAGGGCAGCCAGAGAGAAAGGTCGGGTTACCTACAAAGGGAAGTCCATCAGACTAACAACTGATCTCTCAGCAGAAGCTCTACAAGCCAGAAGAGAGTGGGGGCCAATTTTCAACATTCTTAAAGAGAAGAATTTTCAACCCAGAATCTCATATCCAGCCAAACTAAGCTTCATAAGTGAAGGAGAAATAAAATACTTTACAGACAAGCAAATGCTGAGAGATTTTGTCACCACCAGGCCTGCCCTACAAGAGCTCCTGAAGGAAGCACTAAACATGGAAAGGAAAAACCGTTACAGCCACTGCAAAAACATGCCAAATTGTAAAGACCATCGAGGCTAGGAAGAAACTGCATCAACTAACGAGAGAAATAACCAGCTAACCTCATAATGACAGGATCAAATTCACACATAACAATATTAACCTTAAGTGTCAATGGGCTGAATTCTCTGATTAAAAGACACAGACTGGCAAATTGGATAAAGAGTCAAGACCCATCACTGTCCTGTATTCAGGAAACCCATCTCATGTGCAGAGACACACATAGGCTCAAAATAAAGGGATGGAGGAAGATCTACCAAGCAAATGGAAAACAAAAAAAGGCAGGGGTTGCAATCCTAGTCTCTGATAAAACAGACTTTAAACCAGCAAAGATCAAAAGAGACAAAGAAGGCCATTACATAATGGTAAAGGGATCAATTCAACAAGAAGTGCTAACTATCCTAAATATATCTGCACCCAATACAGGAGCACCCAGATTCATAAAGCAAGTCCTTAGAGACCTACAAAGAGACTTAGACTCCCACATGATAATAATGGGAGATTTTAACACCCCACTGTCAACATTAGACAGATTAACGAGACAGAAAGTTAACAAGGATATCCAGGGATTGAACTCAGCTCTTCACCAAGAGGACCTAATAGACATCTACAGAACTCTCCACCCCAAACCAACAGAATATATATTCTTCTCAGCACCACACCACACTTATTCCAAAATTGACCACATATTTGGAAGTGAAGCACTCCTCAGCAAATGTAAAACAACAGAAATTATAACAAACTCTCAGACCACAGTGCAATCAAACTAGAACTCAGGATTAAGAAATTCACTCAAAACCACTCAACTACATGGAAACTGAACAAACTGCTCCTGAATGACTACTGGGTAAATAACGAAATGAAGGCAGAAATAAAGATGTTCTTTGAAACCAATGAGAACAAAGACACAACATACCAGAATCTCTGGGACACATTCAAAGCAGTGTGTAGAGGGAAATTTATAGCACTAAATGACCACAAGAGAAACAGGAGAGATCTAAAGTTGACACCCTAACATCACAATTAAAAGAACTAGAGAAGCAAGAGCAAACACATTCAAAAGCTAGCAGAAGGCAAGAAACAATTAAGATCAGAGCAGAACTGAAGGAAATAGAGACACAAAAAACCCTTCAAAAAATCCATGAATCCAGGAGCTGGTTTTTTGAAAAGATCAACAAAATTGATAGACCGCTAGCAAGACTAATAAAGAAGAAAAGAGAGAAGAATCAAATAGACACAATAAAAAATGATAAAGGTGATATCACCACCAATCCCACAGAAATACAAACTACCATCAGAGAATACTATAAGCACGTCTATGCAAATGAACTAGAAAATCTAGAAGGAATGGATAAATTCCTCAACACATACACCTTTCCAAGACTAAACCAGGAAGAAGTTGAATCTCTGAATAGATCAATAACAGGCTCTAAAATTAAGGCAATAATTAATAGCTTACCAACCAAAAAGAGTCCAGGACCAGATGGATTCACAGCCGAATTCTACCAGAGGTATAAGGAGGAGCTGGTACCATTCCTTCTGAAACTATTCCAAACAATAGAAAAAGAGAGAATCCTCCCTAACTTGTTTTATGAGGCCAGCATCATCCTGATACCAAAGCCTGGCAGAGACAAAACAAAAAAAGAGAATTTTAGATCAATATCCCTGATGAACATCGATGCAAAAATCCTCAATAAAATACTGGCAAACCGAATCCAGCAGCACATCAAAAAGCTTATTGACCATGATCACGTGGGCTTCATCCCTGGGATGCAAGGCTGGTTCAACATACACAAATCAATAAACATAATCCAGCATATAAACAGAACCAATGACAAAAACCATATGATTATCTCATTAGATGCAGAAAAGGCCTGTGACAAAATTCAACAATGCTTCATGCTAAAAACTCAATAAATTAGGTATTGATGGGACATATCTCAAAATAATAAGAGCTATCTATGACAAACCCACAGCCAATATCATACTGAATGGGCAAAAACTCGAAGCATTCCCTTTGAAAACTGGCACCAGACAGGGATGCCCTCTCTCAGTGCTCCTATTCAACATAGTGTTGGAAGTTCTGGTCAGGGCAATTAGGCAGGAGAAGGAAACAAAGGGCATTCAATTAGGAAAAGAGGAAGTCAAATTGTCCCCGTTTGCAGATGACATGATTGTATATCTAGAAAACCCCATCATCTCAGCCCAAAATCTCCTTAAGCTGATAGGCAACTTCAGCAAAGTCTCAGGATACAAAATCAATGTGCAAAAATCACAAGCATTCTAATACACCAATAACAGACAGAGAGCCAAATCCTGAGTGAACTCCCATTCACAATTGCTTCAAAGAGAATAAAATACCTAGGAATCCAACTTACAAGGGAAGTGAAGGACCTCTTCAAGGAGAACTATAAACCACTGCTCAACGAAATAAGAGGATACAAACAAATGGAAGAACATTCCATGCTCATGGGTAGGAAGAATCAATATTGTAAAAATGGCCATACTGCCGAAGGTAATTTATAGATTCAATGCCATCCCCATCAAGCTACCAATGACTTTCTTCACAGAATTGGAAAAAACTACTTTAAAG
The DNA here is from genome assembly GCF_000001405.40 of Homo sapiens. NCBI lineage: Eukaryota > Metazoa > Chordata > Mammalia > Primates > Hominidae > Homo > Homo sapiens. Next base: position 125,854,460 of record NC_000003.12, read on the forward strand.
TTCATATGGAACCAAAAAAAGAGCCCACATTGCCAAGTCAATCCTAAGCCAAAAGAACAAAGCTGGAGGCATCATGCTACCTGACTTCAAACTATTCTACAAGGCTACAGTAACCAAAACAGCATGGTACTGGTACCAAAACAGAGATATAGACCAATGGAACAGAATAGAGCCCTCAAAAATAATGCCACATATCTACAACTATCTGATCTTTGACAAACTTGAGAAAAACAAGAAATGGGGAAAGGATTCCCTATTTAATAAATGGTGCTGGGAAAACTGGCTAGCCATATGTAGAAAGCTGAAACTGGATCCCTTCCTTACACCTTATACAAAAATTAATTCAAGATGGATTAAAGACTTAAATGTTAGACCTAAAACCATAAAAGCCTTAGAAGAAAACCTAGGCAATACCATTCAGAACATAGGCATGGGCAAGGACTTCATGTCTAAAACACCAAAAGCAATGGCAACAAATGCCAAAATTGACAAATAGGATCTAATTAAACTCAAGAGCTTCTGCACAGCAAAAGAAACTACCATCAGAGTGAATAGGCAACCTACAGAATGGGAGAAAATTTTTGCAATCTATTCATCTGACAAAGGGCTGATATCCAGAATCTACAATGAACTCCAACAAATTTACAAGACAAAAACAAACAACCCCATCAACAAGTGGGCAAAGGAAATGAGCAAACACCTCTGAAAAGAAGACATTTATGCAGCCAAAAGACACATGAAAAAATGCTCATCACCACTGGCCAGAGAAATGCAAATCAAAACCACAATGAGATACCATCTCACACCAGTTAGAATGGCGATCATTAAAGAGGCAGGAAACAACAGGTGCTGGAGAGGATGTGGAGAAATAGGAACACTTTTACACTGTTGGTGGGACTGTAAACTAGTTCAACCATTGTGGAAGTCAGTGTGGCGATTCCTCAGGGATTTAGAACTAGAAATACCATTTGACCCAGCCATCCCATTACTGGGTATATACCCAAAGGATTACAAATCATGCTGCTATAAAGACACATGCACATGTATGTTTATTGTGCCACTATTCACAATAGCAAAGACTTGGAAACAAGCCAAATGTCCAACAATAGACTGGATTAATAAAATGTGGCATATACACACCATGGAATACTATGCAGCCATAAAAAATGATGAGTTCCTTTCCTTTGTAGGGACATGGATGAAGCTGGAAACCATCATTCTCAGCAAACTATCGCAAGGACAAAAAACCAAACACTGCATGTTCTCACTCATAGCTGGGAATTAAACAATGAGAACACATGGACACAGGAAGGGGAACATCACACACGGGGGCCTGTTTTGGGGTGGGGGGAGGGGGGAGGGATAGCATTCGGAGATATACCTAATGTTAAATGACGAGTTAATGGGTGCAGCACACCAACATGGCACATGTATACATATGTAACAAATCTGCACGTTGTGCACATGCACCCTAAAACTTAAAGCATGATAAAAAATAAAAAATAAAATAAAAACATTGGCTGTTGACTCCAAATATCCTGCTTCATCATCTCTCCACTCCAGAAACTTTTCACATGCTTACAAAGGGTGTTCATTTCTCCTCTAAGTATTTGCACTCCAGCCCCACCTGCAAGAAGGTGGAAGTAGGGCCTCTGCCTGGGATGGTAACTCTCAAATACAAGGCAAGACCTTTCTCTCCTCCAATATCCCCAGGACTGAAGGACTGTGCAAGTCTGCATATTGATCAAGCTTCTTCCTCCTCCCTTATCTGAAGGGACTTACTTCCTTCAAGACACTTTTCCTCTTCCCACCTAGCTCCGTGCCCGTATCCAGTCATCTTCCAACCCATCTCTCCCCACCTCCATGCCACACAAGAGGGGCTTGACCACAGCACCTGGAAGTTCCTTAAAATTGAATGGTGTGTCGGGCCGGGTGCGGTGGCTCATGTCAGTAACCCCAGCACTTTGGGAGGCTGAGGCAGGCAGGTCACTTGTGGTCAGGAGATCGAGACCAGCCTGGCCAACATGGTGAAAATCCATCTCTACTAAAAATACAAAAGTTAGCTGGGTGTGGTGGTGCATGCCTGTAGTCTCAGCTACTTGGGGGGCTGAGTCAAGGGAATCACTTGAACCCAGGAGGCAGAGGTTACAGTGAGCCGAGATTGCACCACTGCACTCCAGCCTGGGTGACAGAGTGAGACTCTGCCTCAAAAAAAAAAAAAAAAAAAAAAAAAAAAAAAAAAATCGAATGGTGTGATTAGCTTATGATTTTTAAAAAATGGAATGATGTATTCATTTTCTAAGCTACATAACAAATCAACACAAATTTAGCAGCTTAAAACATCCATCTATTACCTCTCCTTTCCTGTGGGTCAGGAGTCTGGGGTTGCAGCTTCAGCTGGGTCCTCTGCTCAGGTACTTACAAGGTTGTGATCAAGGTGTCGGCTGCAATTAGTGTCTCATATGAGGCTTAGGGTCTTCTCCCAACCTCACATGGTTGTTGGCAGAATTTATTTCCATGCAACTGTGGAACTCATGTGGCTTCTTCAAAACCAGCCGGGTGTGGTGGCTCACGCCTGTAATCCCAGCACTTTCGGAGGCTGAGGCAGGTGGATCACCCGAGGTTAGGAGTTCGAGACCAGCCTGGCCAATATGGTGAAACCCCATCTTTACTAAAAATACAAAACTTAGCCTGGCATGATGGCGCATGTCTGTAATCCCAGCTACTTGGGAGGCTGAGGCAGGAGAATCACTTGAACCCAGGAGGCAGAAGTTGCAGTAAGCCGAGATCGTGCCACTGCACTCCAGCCTGGGCAACAGAGTGAGACTCCATCTCAAAAACAAGCAAACAAACAAAAGCCAAAAACCAGGAGGAAGGAGTCTCTCTCCTCCAGACCCTCATTGAAGATCTCACCTGAAGATGTCAGGCCCACCCTGAATAATCTCCCTTTTGATTAACTCAAAGCGAACAGATTAGGGGCTTAGTTACATCTGCAAAATCCCTTCAACTTTTCCATAGGTATAGATTAGAAGCAAGCCACGGGTCCTGCCTACACTCCAAGGGAGAGGAGATTACACCTGGCATTTATCCAGGGCAAGAAGCTAAGGGGTCATCTCAGAATTCTGCCTTCCAAATAGATCCTCGGTGGAGCTCAAATGCCTGGGCGAGCACCAGCCTTTGTTTAAAGGCAACAGAGAATGCTGCCCTGTCTCAGATCTTCAGCAAGCCTCCAGAATGATGGTCCAGTCTCTGAGCCCAGGGCCAAGGCAGCAGGAGCTTTGGGCGCACATGGGGACTGGCTTCCCCCACTTTGAAGTGAATCATCACATCCGTATTAGACCCTAGCTGTTGCTCAGGCAAAAATGATGATTTAGAAGAAGATGGAGAGAAGAGGAGAGTTAATTTAAAAGCACTTATATTTAGCCGGGCACAGTGGTTCACGTCTGTAATCCCAGCACTTTGGGAGGCTGAGGCAGGTGGATCACGAGGTCAGGAGATGGAGACTATCCTGGCTAACACGGTGAAACCCCGTCTCTGTTAAAAATACAAAAAATTAGCAGGGCTTGGTGGCAGGTGCCTGTAGTCCCAGCTACTCGGGAGGCTGAGGCAGGAGCATGGCGTGAACCTGGGAGGCAGATCTTGCAGTGAGCCGAGATCGCGCCACTGCACTCCAGCCTGGGCAACAGAGTGAAACTCCGTCTCAAAAAAAGAAAAAAAAAAAGAAAGTACTTATATTCATTCTCTAGGGCTGCCACAACCAAGTACCACAAGCTGGGTGACTTGAAACAAGAGAAATTGATTGTCTTGTGGCTCTGGTGGCCAGCAGTCTGAAATGGAGGTGCCAGCAGGGCCACACTCTCTCCTGCACTTGTCAGGGAGTCCTGCCTTGCCTCTTCCTAGCTTCCTGTGGTCTCCTGGCAGTTTTCAGTGTTCCTTGGTTTGCAGACGCATCAGTCCAATCTTCTGTCTGATCCATGGCCTTCTTCCCTGTGTCTCCATGACTCAGCGTGTCCTCTCCTCTTTTATAAGGACACCAGTCATTGACTTAGGGCCATCCCTACTCCAGGATGACTTCATCCTAATCAATAGCATCTGCAATAACCCTCTTTCTTTCTTCCTTTTTTTTTTTTTGAGACGGAGTTTCACTCTTGTTGCCCAGGCTGGAGTGCAATGGCATGATCTCAGCTCAATGCAACCTCCACCTCCTGGGTTCAAGTGATTCTCCTGCCTCAGCACCCTGAGTAGCTGGGATTAGAGGTATGCACCACCACACTCAGCTAATTTTGTATTTTTAGTAGAGACGGGGTTTCTCCATGTTGGTCAGGCTGGTCTCAAACTCCTGACCTCAGGTGATCCACCCACAGCGGCCTCCCAAAGTGCTGGGTTTACAGGTGTGAGCCACGATGCCCGGCCTGCAATAAGTATTTCTAAATAAGATCACATTCTCAGCTACAAGAATTTAGGATTTCAACATCTTTTGAGGAGGACTCAATTTAACCCATAAGAATACTATGTGGGCCACACATGGTGCTTCACATCTGTTATCCCAGTATTTCGGGAAGTTGAAGCAGGAGGATCATTGCTCAGGGCCTATGGGGACACCGGGTGCATAAGACCACAGTGTTGACTGGTGTGGGGACTCACACCTGTAAGTTTGGGAACCTAAGGCAGGGCAATCGCTTGAGCTCAGGAGTTTGAGGCCAGCCTGGGTGACATACTGAGATCTCATTTCTTAAAAAAAAAAAAAAAAAAAATTAATTAGCTGGGCATGGTGGTACCCGCCTACAGGCCCAGCTACTCAGGAGGCTGAAGCAGGAGGGTCGCTTGATTCCAGAAGATCAAGGCTGTGGTGAGCTGTGATTGCACCACTGCACTCCAGCCTGGGCAATAGAGCAAGCCCTGTCTCAAAAAAAAAAAAAAAAGTCATCTCCCTTGTCTTCTGATTCCCTGAGCTGTCATAGAAAGGAAGTGAAGCAGTGAAAGCATCCCCCCAAAAGAGACTTTTCAAAACCAGCCCAAGCAACATAGAAAGACCTTGCCTCTAGAAAGTATTTAAATTTGAAGGAAAAAAAATAAAAAGCAGTACTATGGCACAGAGTTGACAGCTACAGGTGTGGCTACATCCAGGTCCTCAAACTGTATCATCAGAATGACCCCTCACCCTCCCCTCGCTTTCCATTTTACTTTCTTAAGCATGAACATGAAATTTCCAAGATTGTCTCTCCTTTGGCTAATCTGCTTCTCAGACCCAATCGCTGTGGCCAGGGTGGTGGAAGGATATTGACATCCAGGCTGGGACCACATGCCCCAGCCCCAGATCAGGGTGGGGAGTGGCCAGTCGCACACATGCCGTGGGGTACTAGTGACTCCTCGGTGGAAAATCGGGAACTGTCATTGGAGAGGAGCGATGGAAGAAAGGCTGACACACTGCAATGTATCTCCTGCACCAGCCTGGGACTCGATGTCTTGAGAATGGCAGTTTGCAGTCTGATGACCCAGTACTCAGTCCAGGGCAATCCCAACTCCATCTGTGGGGCTGCCCACAGTACATGGACCCCCTCACTGGATGTGCTGACCACACGTGCAAACAGCCACCTCCCAGCCCCACTCCCTGCAGTCCCGCTGAACCCTGTCGAAATTCCCCTCAGTTCTCACCAAGAATAAAAGCAATTCTGAGGGTGAGCGGCTCATTCCGCTAGTTTAAATCTCTCGATTCCTTCCCTCTCCAGAACTCTGTACTTACTGCTCCATCACTGGTAATGACAATGAACATTTTCACAATCTCACTTTTTATTGCAAAGTGATTGAGGACCAGTTAGAATAAGTTATGCTACAGAAACTAAAGAAATCCCGTCAAGCAAATGGTGTGTAATAGAAAGTCTTAGGGCAGCCGTGTATATTTTCTCCCCCAATGAATCAATTGAAAATGAGAGGATCTTACCGCCATGTTCCGGGCAGAAGCTATCAAAAGTGTAAACCATGATATTATAATTTAATCATTTTACATCCGTCAAATGGATATGGCCCAGGGGTGAAAAGTGGATGCTCCGTAACTAGATGATGGTCAAGAGTTATAAAAATGAGGTCCTCTCTGTTCAACCTTTCTCCTTTCTTGAAAGGATACTCAATGTCATGCTCAGGGCCTCTAATGGCCAGAAATAAAGTTCCTCTCAGTTTCAGAGCACCCCAGGGCAACCCCAAAACCAGAGCAACTGCTTATAGCCATAAGCCACAGACTGTGTACTGTGCAATTCCTGGGGCGGCATTTTCATAAATATGTGGGTGGCGCCCCCTGGAGGTGTGCAATGTACAACTTGCATAAATGGTAAGTGATGGTATCCCAAAGTCCACCAAGAAGAGGTAAACAAAATTCCCATCGATGTTGCCATCAGTCATGAGTCTGTCTTTTTTTCATGGGACAGTAGCAAAAACAATTTGGCCAAATGTGCTTGGATGATCTCTAAGCTCTAAGATGGAATCAGGGTCTCTCACTTTCAGCACTATTGACATTTGGGGCTGGATCATTACTTTGTCTTAGTGGGAGTTGTCCGGGGCATTGTAGGATGTTTAGCAGCATCCGTGGCCTCTACCCATTAGATGCCAGTAGCACCACCTCCTCCAGCTGCAACAACCAAAACTCTCCAGACATGGGCACATGTTCTCTGGGGAGCAAAATCACACCCTGGTTGAGAAGCCAGACATAATACGCAGATCACATGTAAGTAAGAGAGCCTAAGGGCCACACAGGTGATGCTGTACCCATGACAAAGCCAGAGTCTTAAAGAGGTTAGAGAGGTGGAGAAAGAGAAAGGAAATAGAGTCCCAGCTGCCGAGAGCAACAGATGCTGACTAGATGTTGTTGATAGTCATCTTAAACTGAGTTAAAAAATGCTGAGAAGCCATCAGCTGCCATCCTGCTCTCCAGGGACAAAGCTGCTGAAAAAGGCCTGGAGATCAACAAAGCGCCAGACACAGGTGCACTGAGCAAAGAAACCAGAGATTGAGACAAAAAAGACATTCCCTCAAAGACTACTCATTTCCAAGGGGGAGAAAAAGTGGAGTCACAAAAAACAGTTGAGGCTGGGTAGAGTGACTCACACCTGTAATCCCAGCACTTTGGGATTACTCCCATGCTAAGACGGGAAGATTGCTTGAGCTCAGGAGTTCAAGACCGGCCTGGGCAACATAGCAAGACCTTGCCTCTAGAAAAAGGGAAAAAACTAGCCAGGTGTGATGATACATGCCTGTGGTCTCAGCTACTCAGGAGGCTGAGGTGGGAGGATTGCTTGAACACAGGAGGTAGAGGCTGCAGTGAACCGGGATCACAACACTGCACTCCAGCCTGGGCTACAGAGTGAGATCCTGTCTCAACAAAGAAAAAAATTAAATAAAATTAAGGCCAGGCACAATGGCTCATGCCTGTAATCTCAGCACTTTGGGAGGCCAAGGTGGGCAGATCACGGGGTCAGGAGATCAAGACCATCCTAACACAGTGAAACCCCATCTGTACTAAAAATACAAACAATTAGCCGGACATGGTGGTGGGTTCATATAGTCCCAGCTACTCTGGAGGCTGAGGCAGAAGAATGGAGTAAACTCAGGAGGTGGAGTTTGCAGTGAGCCAAGATCATGCCACTGCACTCCAGCCTGGGCAAAAGAGCAAGACTCCATCTCAAAACAAAAAATAAAAGAAAAAAGAAAATTAAAAAATTTTTTGAGACCAAGTCTCACTCTGTCGCCCAGGCTGGAGTGTAATGGTGCGATCTCGGCTCACTGCAACCTCCGCCTCCTGGGTTCAAGTGATTCTCATGCCTCGACCTTGTGCCTCAACATGACTACAGGCATGTTGTCACCATGCCTGGCTAATTTTTGCATTTTTAGTAGAGATGGGGTTTCGCCATGTTGTCCAGGATGGTCTTGAACTCCTAGGTTCAAGTGATCTACCCACCTCAGCCTCCCAAAATGCTGAGATTACAGGCATTAGCCACCGTGCCTGACCTCTAACTTTTCGTTATGGAAATTTCCCATAGGCACAAAAAGCAGGGAGAGAATTGCACCATGAACCCCCATTCACCCATCATCCCACTGCAAGAACTTGTCAACATCTCGCCAATCTCATTCCAGTTCCCGCTTTTCTTTTCCTTCTTGCTATTTTACAATATTTTAAAGCAAATTCCAGACATTTCATTTCACCCACATCCATAACACACCAGGGTGCATTCTTGATGTAAGGGTTTTGTTTTGTTTTGTTTTATAACCCCCATGCCATTGCCACAGTTAATAGATTTAACATGAAGAAACTAAGATTCTTGTAGGTGGAGAAAAGATCTAATTACCACCTTAAAGCCTCTCCTACCAGCACTTCTCAGATCTGAACGTGTATGCAGATCACCCAGGCATCTTGTTAAAATGCAGATTCTGGCCCAGCAGGTCCTCCCGGGTGAGCCCTGAGAGTCTTCAATTCCAAAAGCTCACAGGTGACGCAATGCTGCAGGTCCATGAATCACACAAGAGGAAGGGTTGGCCAAACACCCACAACAACTGGGTGCAAAGTCCTGACTGTTCCCGACTGCAGGGCCTTCAGTGAACGGGGAAGCTGGGGACCATTTGGGAAAGAAGGGAGGTTTTTCGTATCAGCTCCAGGCCCTGTAGAACTGCCAGGGAATAACAGAAACAAGGTCAACAAAGTCCAACCAACAGCATGAGTGCATTCATATTCCACAACCACTGCAGCAAAGAACCATGAAATGGGTGGCTTCAAACAATGTCTGGGCCTGGTGCTGTGGCTCACACCTAAATAATCTCAGCACTTTGGGAGGCTGAGGTGGGTGGATCACCTGAGGCCAGGAATTCAAGACCAGCCTGGCCAATATGGCAAAACCTCATCTCTACTAAAAATACAAAAATTAGCCATGCATGGTGGCAGGCACCTGTAGCCCAGCTACTTGGGAGGCTGAGGCAAGAGAATGGCTTGAGCCCAGGAAGTGGAGGATGCAGTGAATCAAGATCGTGCAACTGCACTCCAGACTGGGCAACAGAGCAAGGCTCTTTCTAAAAAAAAAAAGAAAAAAAAAATGTCTGGAGGCCAGAAGTCCAAAATCAATCAAATGTCAGCAGGACTATGCTCCTTCAGAGGTTCTAGGGGAGAATCCATTCCTTGCCTCTTCCAGCTTGTAGAGGCTACTAGATTTCCTCAACTTGTGGCTGCATGATCCAATCTCTGCCTCTGTGATCACCTTGCCTCCTCCTCTTCTCCTCTTCTGTATGGGTCTCCTCCTCTGGAGGAAGAGTGTCAGGCCTCTGAGCCCAAGCTAAGCCATCGTATCCCCTGTGACCTGCACGTACACATCCAGATGGCCAGTTCCTGCCTTAACTGATGACATTATCTTGTGAAATGCCTTCTCCTGGCTCATCCTGGCTCAGAAGCTCCCCTACTGAGCACCTTGTGACCCCCACTCCTGCCTGCCAGAGAACCCCCCTTTTTCCTTTACCTACCCAAATCCTATAAAATGGCCCCACCCCATCTCCCTTCGCTCACTCTTTTCAGACTCAGTCCACCTGCACCCAGGTGAAATAAACAGCTTTATTGTTCACACAAAGCCTGTTTGGTGGTCTCTTCACACGGACCCATGTGAAATTTGGTGTCATAACTCGGATCGGGGGACCTACCTTGGGACATCAATCCCCTGTCCTCCTGCTCTTTGCTCTGTGAGAAAGATCCACCTACAACCTCAAGTCCTCAGGCTGACCAGCCCAAGAACATCTCACCAATTTCCAATCCGGTAAGCAGCTTCTTTTTACTCTCTTCTCCAACCTCCCTCACTATCCCTCAACCTCTTTCTCCTTTCAATCTTGATGCCACACTTCAATCTCTCCCTTCTCTTAATTTCAATTCCTTTCATTTTCTGGTAGAGACAAAGGAGACACATTTTATCCGTGGACCCAAAACTCTGGCGCCTGTCACGGACTAGGGAAGGCAGCTTTTCCTTGGTGTTTAATCATTGCAGGGACACCTCTGTGATTATTCACCCAGGTTTCAGAGGTGTCAGACCACGCAGGGATGCCTGCCTTTGTCCTTCACCCTTAGTGGCAAGTCCCACTTTTCTGGGGGAAGGGGCAAGAACCCCTCAACCCCTTCTCCTTCACCCTTAGCAGCAAGTCCCACTTTTCTGGGGGAGGGGAAGGAACCCCCTCTTATCTCAGTGCCCCGATCCCTTATTTCTGTGCCCCAACCTCTTATCTCTGTGGCCCGATCCCTTATTTCCATGCCCCAACCTCTTATCTCTGTGACCCAATCCCTTATTTCCACGACCTGACCTCTTATCTCTGCACCCCAACCCCTTATTTCTGTGCCCTGACCTCTTAGCTCTGCATCACAACCCTTTATTTCTGCACACTGACCCCTTTCCCACTTTTCGGGAAGGCAAGAACCCCCCACCCCTTCTCTCTGTGTCTCTACTCTCTCTTTTCTCTAGGCTTGCCTCCTTCACTATGGGCAAGCTTCTGCCCTCCATTCCCCCTTCTTCTCCCCTAGCCTGTGTTAAAAACCTAAAATCTTTTCAACTCACACCTGACCTAAAACCTAAATGCCTTATTTTCTTCCACAATGCCACTTGACCCCAATACAAACTCAACAGTAGTTCCAAATAGCCAGAAAATGGCACTTTCAATTTTTCCAACCTACAAGATCTAGATAATTCTTGTCGTAAAATGGGCAAACGGTCTGAGGTGACTGATGCCCAGGCATTCTTTTACACATCGGTCCCTCCCTAGTCTGTTCCCAGTGCAACTCATCCCAAATCTTCCTTCTTTCCCTCCCACCTGTCCCCTCAGTCCCAACCCCAAGCGTCACTGAGTCTTTGTAATCTTCCTTTTCTACAGACCAATCTGACCTCTCCCCTCCTCACCAGGCCAAGCTAGGCCCCAATTCTTCCTCAGCCTCCGCTCCTCCACCCTATAATCCTTTTATCACCTCCCCTCCTCACACCGGGTCCAGCTTACAGTTTCGTTCCATGACTAGCCCTCCCCAACCTGCCCAGCAATTTCCTCTGAAAAAGGTGGCTGGAGCTAAAGGCATAGTCAAGGTTAATGCTCCTTTTTCTTTATCCCAAATCAGATAGGGTTTAGGCTCTTTTTCATCAAATATAAAAATCCAGCCCAGTTCATGGCTCATTTGGCAGCAACCCTGAGATGCTTTACAGCCCTAGACCCTAAAAGGTCAAAAGGCCGTCTTATTCTCAATATACATTGTATTACCCAATCTGCTCCCAATATTAAATAAAACTCTGAAAATTAAATTCCGGCCCTCAAACCCCACAACAGGACTTAATTAACCTCGCCTTCAAGGTGTACAATAATAGAGTAGAGGCAGCAAAGTAGCAACATATTTCTGAGTTGTAATTCCTTGCCTCCACTGTGAGACAAACCCCAGCCACATCTCCAGCACACAAGAACTTCCAAACGCCTAAAGTGCAGTGGCCAGGTGTTCCTCCAGAACCGCCTCCCCCAGGAGCTTGCTACTAGTGCCAGAAATCTGGCCAAAGAATGCCCACAACCCGGGATTCCTCCTAAGCCATGTCCCATCTGTGTGGGACCCCACTAGAAATTGGACTGTTCAACTCACCTGACAGCCACTCCCAGAGCCCCTGGAACTCTGGCCCAAGGCTCTCTGACTGACTCCTTCCCAGATCTTCTTGGCTTAGCAGCTGAAGACTGACACTGCCTGATCGATCACTTCGGAAGCCTACAGGACCATCACAGATGCTCTAGGTAACTCTCACAGTGGAGGGTAAGTCCGTCCCCTTCTTAATCAATATGGAGGCTACCCACTCCACATTACCTTCTTTTCAAGGGCCTGTTTCCCTTGCCTCCATAACTGTTGTGGTTATTGACAGCCAGGCTTCTAAACCTCTTAAAACTCCCCAACTCTGGTGCCAACTTAGACAATACTCTTTTAAGCACTCCTTTTTAGTTATCCCCACCTGCCCAGTTCCCTTATTAGGCTGAGACACTTTAACTAAATTATCTGCTTCCCTGACTATTCCTGGACTATAGCTACATCTCATTGCCACCCACCTTAACCCACAAGTAGAAGATACCTCTACTCCCTCCTTGGCGACCGATCATGCACCCCTTACCATCTCATTAAAACCTAATCACCCTTACCCCGCTCAATGCCAATATCCCATCCCACAGCATGCTTTGAAAGGATTAAAGCCTGTTATCACTTGCCTGCTACAGCATAGCCTTTTAAAGCCTATAAACTCTCCTTACAATTCCCCCATTTTACCTGTCCTAAAACCATCCACCCCATGGTGCCAAATGCATATACTCTCCTATCCTCAATTCCTCCCTCCACAACCCATTATTCTGTTCTGGATCTCAAACATGCTTTCTTTACTATTCCTTTGCACCCTTCATCCCAGCCTCTCTTTGCTTTCACTTGGACTGACCCTGACACCCATCAGGCTCAGCAAATTACCTGGGCTGTACTGCCGCAGAGCTTCACAGACAGCCCCTATTACTTCAGTCAAGGCCAAATTTCTTCCTTATCTATTACCTATCTCAGCATAATTCTCATAAAAACACACATGCTCTCCCTGCCGATCGTGTCCAACTAATCTCTCAAACCCCAACCCCAGCTACAAAACAACAACTCCTTTCCTTCCTGGGCATGGTTGGATACTTTTGCCTTTAGATACCTGGTATTGCCACCCTAACAAAACCATTATATAAACTCAAAAAAGGAAACCTAGCTTACTCCATAGATCCTAAATCCTTTCCCCACTCCTCTTTCAGTTCCTTGAAGACAGCTTTAAAGACTGCCCCTACCCTAGCTCTCCCTGACTCATCCCAACCCTTTTCATTACACACAGCCAAAGTGCAGCGCTGTGCAGTCGAAATTCTTACACAAGGACCAGGATTGCTTCCTGTAGCCTTTTTGTCCAAACAACTTGACCTTACTGTTTTAGGCTGGCCATTATGTCTCTGTGCAGTGGCTGCTGCTGCCCTAATACTTTTAGAGGTCGTTAAAATCACAAACTATGCTCAACTCACTCTCTACAGCTCTCATAATTTCCAAAATCTATTTTCTTCCTCACACCTGACGCATATACTTTCTGCTCCCTGGCTCCTTCAGCTGTACTCACTCTTTGTTGAGTCTCCCACAATTACCATTGTTCCTGGCCCGGACTTCAATCCAGCCTCTCACATTATTCCTGATACCACACCTGACCCTCATGACTGTATCTCTCTGATCCACCTGACATTCACCCCATTTCCCCACATTTCCTTCTTTCCTGCTTCTCACCCTGATCACACTTAGTTTATTGATGGCAGTTCCACCAGGCCTAATTGCCACACACCAGCAAAGGCAGGCTATCCTATAGTACAAGCCACTAGCCCGCCTCTTAGAACCTCTCATTTCCTTTCCAGCGTGGAAATCTATCCTCAAAGAAATAACTTCTCAGTGTTCCATCTGCTATTCTTTTACTCCTCAGGGATTATTCAGGCCCCCTCCCTTCCCTACACATCAAGCTCAGGGATTTGCCCCCACTCAGGACTGGCAAATTAGCTTTACTCAACGTGCCCTGAGTCAGGAAACTAAAATACCTCTTGGTCTAGGTAGACACTTTCACTGGATAGGTAGAGGCCTTTCCCACAGGGCCTAAGAAAGCCACCACGGTCATTTCTTCCCTTCTGTCAGACATAATTCCTCAGTTTGGCCTTCCCACCTCTATACAATCCAATAGTAGACCGGCCTTTATTAGTCAAATCAGCCAAGCAGTTTTTCAGGCTCTTAGTATTCAGTGAAACCTTTATATCCCTTACAGTCCTCAGTCTTCAGGAAAGGTAGAACAGACTAATGGTCTTTTAAAAACACACCTCACCAATCTCAGCCACCAACTTAAAAAGGACTGGACAATACTTTTACCACTTTCCCTTCTCAGAATTCAAGCCTGTCCTTGGAATGCTACAAGGTACAGCCCATTTAAGCTCCTGTATAGATGCTCCTTTTTATTAGGCCCCAGTCTCATTCCAGACACCACACCAACTTGGAATGTGCCCCAAAAAACTTGTCATCCCTACTATCTTCTCTCTAGTCATACTCCTATTCACCGTTCTCAACTACTCATACATGCCCTGCTCTTGTTTACACTGCCAGTTTACACTGTTTCTCCAAGCCATCGCAGCTGATAGCTCCTGGTGCTATGCCCAAACCGCCACTCTTAACTCTTAAATAATCTTTGCTGGCAAGGCTATGCTGAACCTCCTTAGGCACTCTCTAATTAGATGTCCTAGGTCCTCCCAATTCTTAGTCCTTTAATACCTGCTTTTCTCCTTCTCTTATTCTGTTTAGTTTTTAATTCATACAAAACTGTATCCAAGCCATCATCAATAATTCTAAATGACAAATGTTTCTTCTAACAACCCCACAATATCACCCCTTACCACAAAATATTCCTTCAGCTTCATCTCTCCCACTCTAGGTTCCAACGCTGCCTCTAATCCCGCTCAAAGCAGCCCTGAGAAACATCGCCCATTACTTCTCCATACCATCCCCAAAAATTTTCGCCGTCCCAACACTTTACCACTATTTCGTTTTATTTTTCCTGTTAATATAAGAAGACAGGAACGTCAGGCCTCTGAGCCCAAGCTAAGCCATCATATCCCCTGTGACCTGCACGTACACATCCAGATGGCCGGTTCCTGCCTTAACTGATGACATTCCACCACAAAATAAATGAAAATGGCCTGTTCCTGCCTTAACTGATGACATTATCTTGTGAAATTCCTTCTCCTGGCTCATCCTGGCTCAAAAGCTCCCCTACTGAGCACCTTGTGACCCCCACCACTCCTGCCTGCCAGAGAACAACCCCTTTTTCCTTTACCTACCCAAATCCTATAAAACAGCCCCACCCCTATCTCCCTTCACTGACTCTCTTTTTGGACTCAGCCTGCCTGCACCCTGGTGAAATAAACAGCTTTATTGCTCACACAAAGCCTGTTTGGTGGTCTCTTCACACGGATGCACGTGAAAAACAGTGTCCTTCATTTTTCTTTTTTTTTTTTGAGATGGAGTTTCACTCTTGTTGCCCAGGCTGGAGTGCAATGGCATGACCTCACCTCACTGCCACCTCCTCCTCCTGGGTTCAAGCA
Source organism: Homo sapiens (assembly GCF_000001405.40). Lineage (NCBI taxonomy): Eukaryota > Metazoa > Chordata > Mammalia > Primates > Hominidae > Homo > Homo sapiens. Next base: position 125,869,619 of record NC_000003.12, read on the forward strand.
ACTCTTCTGCCTCAGCCTCCCCAGTAGCTGGGATTGCAGGCACGCGCCACCATGCCCGGCTAATTTTGTATTTTTAGTAGAGATGGGGTTTCTCCATGTTGGTCAGGCTGGTCTCGAAGTCCTGACCTCAGGTGATCCACTCACCTCAGCCTCCCAAAGTGCTGGGATTACAGGCATGAGCCACTGTGCCCGGACAAAAGTGTCCTCTTATAAGGACATTTGTCTTTAGATGTACAGCCTACCTAAAATACTCCAGGAGAATCTCATCTCAAGATCCTTAACTTAATTACATCTGCAAAGACCCTTTTTCCAAATAATGCCACCTCCACAGATTCTAGGCACAAGGATCTGGATATATCTTGTGCAAAGCCACCATTCAGCTCACTACACTAGAAAGAAGAAAAACAACGAAGTAACAAAAGGCGCAGAAGAAAGAACAGATGCAGCTTGTGTGGCAGTGGCCATCAAGGCAGGCTGGGGTAAAACTGTGTCAGCAGAACCCCAAAAGTCCAACAATGATAGACTGGATTAAGAAAATGTGGCACATATACGCCATGGAATACTATGCAGCCATAAAAAATGATGAGTTCATGTCCTTTGTAGGGACATGGATGAAATTGGAAATCATCATTCTCAGTAAACTATCGCAAGAACAAAAAACCAAACACCATATATTCTCACTCATAGGTGGAAATTGAACAATGAGATCACATGGACACATGAAGGGGAATACCACACTCTGGGGACTGTGGTGGGGTGGGGGGAGGGGGGAGGGATAGCATTGGGAGATATACCTAAGGCTAGATGACGAGTTAGTGGGTGCAGCACACCAGCATGGCACATGTATACATATGTAACTAACCTGCACAAAGTGCACATGTACCCTAAAACTTAAAGTATTAAAAAAAAAAAAAAAAAAGAAGGGGTGGGAAGAGAGATAGCCCATTCTCTGTTGGCCTAATTCCTAAGGAATCGTGCCTCTGCCTTCGGGCCATTCTCAAGTCTTGTTCAAGGATAAAATGATTTATTCATGGCCATAATTAAAAATCAATGCCAACAGAAGCAGCGTCAGCATTTTTCATTTGTACTTACACATGAGTGAGAGCAGTTTAGGGAAACGGGTGCCTTCAGGTTCTGTTTTCTCCATCTAGAAAAGGGCTGCCTTCATGGAATGCTGGTGCTGGGGAGAAGCCTCACGTCTATAGCAGGACTTGATTGTTTTAAATTCCGATTGGTACACGGAGCTACTCGTCCTCATTTCAAGCACTTCTGGTTTGTTCTGGGTTCAGTGGGTGAGCAATGAGTAGAACTCTGGGGAGGAGGATTTGGGGCGAGCGTGGTTTTGATACCCAGAGAGAGCTGTTTTTCCATCACTGTCTTGACTGTGATTCAGAATGGGCTTCTCCGCTCAAGATGGGAGTACTGGGCTGATTTAAGGTGGGTGATTGACTTGTTTTGGTGGCTATTTTTATACTAGCTGGTTAACGAGCTATTTTCTTCATTAGTTTCAGGCATGTGAGCTTAATGAAGCACTGGACCTCCCAAATTACAAGGAAAATAAAGATATAGCTTATATGGTAGTTTCGAAGGAGTTAGTGAACAAACACAGTAGGGCCACAAATTATTGTTGAAGACATGAATGCATGAAAGTGTATCTATGTCCAAATGGACTCTCTGCAACCATACTGTTCCACCTGAAAATTAGTAGATCGAAATTCAGCAAATGCTTGGACAGGGGATACTCTCAGAAGTATTCCGACTAAATAGCTTGGTTTCTTTTCATATCACTAAAGTAATTTCTTCCCAAATTGATTCTGGACTAAATCTTATGATACCTACTTGTTCTGATTGTACTTAGCCACCTGCAAATAAGGTGGGGGCAGTGGTAAGAGGAGCTGTTGAATGAAATTAAACATTTGTTGAATGCTTACTGAGGATAAAGCCCTGTGCTTTGTGCCAGGAAGATTCCAGAATAAATGAGGCACAGACCTACTCTCAGGAAGCTTTTGCAAACTAATGGAGAAAACACATCTGCAGGCAATGACTTATGGTATAAGAGGAAATGGGGCCAGGTAGGGTGACTCACACCTGTAATCTCAGCACTTTAGGAGGCCAAGGTAGGTGGATCACTTGAGGTCAGGAGTTCAAGACCAGCCTGGCCAACATGGCGAAACCCTGTCTCTATTAAAAATCCAAAAAAAAAAAAAAAAAAAAAAAAAGAGAGAGAGGCTTGATGGTGTGCACCCGCAATCCCAGCTACTTGGGAGGCTGAGGCACAAGAATCACTTAAACCTGGGAGGTGGAGATTGTAGTGAGCCGAGATCCCACCACTGCACTCCAGCCTAGGAGACAGAGTGAGACTCTGTCAAAAAAAAAAAAAAAAAAAAAGGAAATAAGATTGATGTTGAATGGGAAATCTAAGCAGGATGGAATGTCAGGAGAGCGCCCACTTGCCCAGCTCCAATAACACTTTTGACAGCCATGACAATATTGCAGGGACGCCCATTCCTCATGGTATCTGAAGCCCCATGAAGGCTTGCATCTGGAGGCTGGTTCAGTCTTGACTTTAAGATCAGGGGATACAAGGAATGATTTTCATCTATCCCAAGCCAATAGTCCAGCCAAAAATCTAAGTCTGAGATGATGAGAAAAAGCAAGTCATCAACCATGTCAGCCATTTCATCATCATCATCATCATCATCATCATCATCATCATCAAAAACAAAAGACAGACCTGTACCCATCTAGTGTGCCTGGCTCTTGTCTTAGTTCAAAATATAGAAGTAAATTCTATGGCCAGTGAACAATGACCAAAATAGCTCTCATCACTTTTGTCTGCCACCATGTAAGATGTGCCTTTTGCCTTCCACCATGATTTGGAGGCTTCTTCAGCCACATGGAACTGTGAGCCCATTAAATCTCTTTTTCTTTAAAATTACCCAGTCTTGAGTAATAAAATAGTGGTTTGTCCACGACATCAATGAATGATGCTGTCACTTGTTCCAAACGCATATCATTTAAGAGGTTTGGATAAACAACAACCTAAAATAAATAAGCACTAAGCAAACTCAGGGCTACATAATCCCTGTGGTGAGGTAACTGACAATGGGTACAACTGGGACAGTTTATTGTTAAATCACATCTATCTGCATGTGCCCAAGCAGTGAGATACTTCGTTTTAATCCTAAAAAATCATGGTGCACATTTACTCCTGCCTTCCAACCGGGCTCCAACGTCACCTCCTCAGAGAAGCCCTCTTTTCTGTGCTTCCACTCTGCTTTTTTTCAACATTTAGTAGAGCATCATTCACCATCCATATCTGGGAACAATGATTGTAAGAAACAAATCCATTTGCATGAGCTGGAGGGAAAGGAGCATACCTTATCTCTAACAGGCAAACTCATGAGCACGAGAAATAAATGAGAGGCCATGAGAGAATGGAAACAGCAGTTACAGAAACCAAAATGCCTCTTTCTGGCTCTCAGAAGCCCATGGTCTCCTTTTTTTTTGTTTTTGTTTTTGAGACGCAGTCTTGCTCTGTCGCCCAGGCTGGAGTGCAGTAGTGCGATCTCAGCTCACTGCAAGCTCCACCTCCCGGGGTTCATGCCATTCTCCCGCCTCAGCCTCCCAACTAGCTGGGACTACAGACACCCGCCACCACACCTGGCTAATTTTTTGTATTTTTAGTAGAGATGGCGTTTCACCGTGTGAGCCAGGATGGTCTCGATCTCCTGACCTCATGATCCGCCCATCTTGGCCTCCCAAAGTGCTGGGATTACAAGCTTGAGCCACAGCACCCGGCAGCCCATGGTCTTTCTTTTCAGCCCTGTGGCCTTTCTTATCTCCGCTTCTCTCACTCACAACCAATTTTCCCTTTTTGCTGGTGGCCCATCATGGCAGCCAGCAGAACCCACCACCAGCTGATCAGTCAGTTACTGGATATCTTGGAGAGGGAGGGAGGGAGAGGGAGAGAGGGAGAGGGAGAGAGAGAGAGAGAGAGAATGACAATTGGGCTTCTGGCCAACCAATTGAGTATAGGGAGGGGAAGTACCATGGTACAAATATGGCGCCAAGACCTGCTTTCTAGCATGGCCAATGAGTAGGGAAATTGAGGGAAGGTACCTGCAAACACAGCAGACATCTCAGAACATGCTCTCTGTTCTTAGTTCTCTCTCCTGCCTTCTCCTAGATTGTAAATATCACAAGACAATCTAGAATAGTACCTGGCTGAAAATATTTGAGAAAGAGAAAAAGGAAGAGATTGGATCAAACTCTGGACTTCATGGTTTCTTAAATTCACTCTGCAAGTTTTTGGGTTTTTTGTTTTTTGAGACAGAGTCTCACTCTGCTGCCCAGGCTGGAGTGTAATGGCATAATCTTGGCTCACTGCAACCTCCACCTCCCAGGTTCAAGCAAATCCCCTGCCTCAGCCTCCTGAGTAGCTGGGATTACAGGCACGCACTGCTACACCAGTTAATTTTTGTATTTTTAGTAGAGATGGGGTTTCATCATGTTGGCCAGGCTGGTCTCGAAATCTTGACCTCGTGATCCACCCACCTCAGCCTCCCAAAGTGCTGGGATTACATGTGTGAGCCACCATGCCTGGCTGACTCTGCAAGTATTTAAGTGAATGAATGTCAGTCCCTGAGAATCAGAAGAAAGGCATTAAATCTCCGTTACGTTTAATCCTGGTCAGCAGCTGTGGGGTGTCCTGGGTTTGGGATCAGTGGGATGAGGAACAAGCAGGTTCTCCAAACCACCACTCAGGGAGGGGAGGTGTTAACTAGGCCAAAGATGATGGGCAGGGTACGTGCCTGGGTTTCAAACAGCTTATGCCAGGCCGAAAAACCGACGCTGAAGCAGAAACTGTATTAAGCAGATTGATGACACAATGGAGGGGGTCAAAAAGTTTAATATTGCTAAGAAGAATACAAATATTGATTATGCAATATGATATTGTTTCACACCATCTCCTGCTACATGCCAGGTTTCCTTTACCATGAGATAGAGGAGACTTGTGGATCTGACCTAATCCTCCAAATTGTAAGGTCCCTGAGAGTGGGCTCATGACATTCATGTTTTATAAATGTGGCATAAAGGCTCATGCTGGCTGCCATGTGGCCCAATCCCAGTTCGATGCCGCATTCAAAGAGCCATCATTCCAGCATGCAAGCATACTTAAAGGCAATTGAAATGTTTACCGCCGTCCCTCAAGACAAACACCAAAGAAAAACTATTTTCAAAATGCATAGCAACACTTCTTAAAATCTTATTTTCCCATCTCTTTCTCTCTCTCTACCACATTCCCAGGAGTTTCCTAGGAGCAAAACTGTCATAAAGACCCAGGAGCAAAATGATTAATGACTTCACTATATCTGATTCTGATTTAGTTGGTTTAGAGTGGTGTCCTCGCATAAGTATTTTTTAATATCTTGCTGGGCACAGTGGCACACACCTGTAGTCTCAGCTACTCGGGAGACTGAGGCAGAAGAATCATTTGAACCCAGGAGTTTGAGTCCAGCCTGGGCAACACAACAAGACCCTGTCTCTGAAAAAAAAAAAAAAAAAAAAGCAAAAACAAATCTCTCTCAGCTGCAGTCAGGGTTGATAACTAGTTGATCAAATAATTGTGGTAGACAACCTTTGCAATAGACCTTAATATTCCCACCTCCTGGTGTTATTCATTGTGGAATCTGTCTTAGCTAGTCCTCAATTGGGTCTGGTATCCAGGCCCCACCTTGAGAGGCTAGTCCCACCTCCTACCCCACACATGGTTTTATCCTTACTTTCAAGACTGGCCTAAAAATGTAAAATGTACTTGTTTTGACCTTGTTTCCAATGAAATAACTATTCTAAACACTCATTTAGGATGGTTGGGGAAATTTGAAGACTGGCTAAATATTGAAGATATTTGCTTCAAAATAACCCAGCTTGGTAATGAGATGATGGCGGCTGAGGCTGGTGATAGGCACAGAGAGCTTCATTATCAAATAGAAACAAGTTGGAAAAAACAGAATCTTTTCCATAATAAAAATGTAAGGTAAACACAAAAATGTATTGAGTGCATAAAAAGAATCTATGGTCTCACAGACATTAGCTTAGAATTTGAACATCAAAAATAAAAGTGATGGCCAGGTGCAGTGGCTGATTCCTGTAATCCCAGCACTTTGGGAGACCGAGGTGTGTGGATCACTTGAGCCCAGGAATTTGAGACCAGCCTGAGCAACATAGTGAGACCCCCATCTCTAAAATAAATAAATATAAATAAAAGTCACTAGAATTGATTATAGAACATCAACTCTATTTGAGTGTATAAAGATTACTGGTGGAGGGGGGCAATGGGGAGAAGGAGAAAGAGAATATATTTGTGACCTAGATTATTTTCCTTAGTTTTGAGGTAATCTTTGGGTCTCCTGGGTCTTCTAGCCCAGTATTTATTTTTATTTATTTTATTTTTTACTTTTTTAGATGGAGTCTCACTCTGTCACCAGACTGGAGTGCAGTGGTGCGATCTCGGGCCACTGCAACTTCCGCCTCCCAGGTTCAATCGATTCTCCTGTCTCAGCTCCCCATGTAGCTGGGACTACAGGTATCTGCCACTGCACCTGGCTAATTTTTGTATCTTTTGTAGAGATGGTGTTTCACCATGTTGGTCCAGGCTGGTCTCGAACTCCTGACCTCAAGTGATCCACCCACCTTGGCCTCCCAAAATACAAGGATTACAGGCATTAGCCACCACACCCTGCCTATTTTCCTTAGTTTTCAAAGAACCTTTGTGTCCCCTGGGTGTTCTAGCCCAGTATATCTCAAACTTTGCTGCACTGAGGACCTTGTTGAAATGCATGTTCTCAGCTGGGAGGCTCAGTGGGCCAGCAAATCTGCATTGGTTTAGGAAGCTCACCCTGAGTAGCAAGCTTCAGTGAGGACCAGGCAGACCCCTGCCTGCCAACCCCCTCTCAGCTGGGCTTAACTCTGGCTCTCTCCTGACAGGGTTCCTCCCCTCAAAATAGGAGCTATTTTCAAAAAGTCTCTTGGAAAAAAGGCCCTGTTTTAAAATTGGGGTGTTTACCACAGTGTTTTAAGACCTTTGCCCAGACCCCCGCAACCAACTTAGAATGGACATTTTTACTTTTGAAGGTCCCACTCCACACCATATTAAATTCATTAAAATCAACCTCCATTACAGGCATATCTCAGGCATCATGCCCTCAGAACGGAGTGGCAGCTAACCACTTGACAATGTTGCAAAGCATTAAACATGCATTCATTTCAGGCTTGCAGTTTTCACATTTAGGAGCCAATTGTCTTAGGTCTAAAGCATTCACGTTCAAGCACTGTTATGGGCCCCAGACACTATGCTTCCCAGCCTTAATGGCCTCTGCTATGCTGGTTCCTACCGCCCCACCCCTGGGTTCTGGCCGGCTAGCCCACACCACCTCACTGCTCCCCCATTCAAGTGTGCCTTAGATGTGTGCTTTCCAAACTCATCTACACTTTAGGATCACCTGGGATTTTCTAAGTGTTCTAAAACCCAGGCCACACCCCACCCCAGAATAACTAAACCTCAACCTCTGGAATGGGACATAGCATCTGTTTTTTGTTTTTTGTTCTGTTTGGTTTTTGAGACAGAGCCTCACTCTGTTACCCAGGCTGGAGTGCAGGGGCACAATCATAGCTCGCTACAGCCTCCAACTCCTGGGCTCAAGCAACCCTCCCACTTCAACCTCCAGGGTAGCTGGGATCACAGGCGGGCACCACTATGCCTGGCTAATTTTTTAATTTTTTATAGCGACAGTATCTCCCTATGTTCTCCAGGCTGGTCTCAAACTCCTGGGCTCAAGTGATCCTCCCGCCTCAGCATCCCAAATTGCTGGGATCACAGGCCTGAGCTACCATGCCTGGCCATCAGCATCTGTATTTTTTGAAGCACAGACGAGTTTGGGAACTACTGCCCTAGACTGAGCTCGGTTTCCTAGCCCTGTCTGACGGTAGGATTCTGCTGGGCTGCTTCTGAAAACAGAGCTCCCCAGGCTCCTTCCCAGGTAATTCTGATTCATTAGGTCCTTGGTGGGCTCTGGAATGTGTATTTTTTACCAGGTCCCTCTGGGCGAATCAGGCTAAAGCCATTTTGGGATCTGAGACCTTGGCGCTCATTCCCCAGCTTCCCTCCTAACCCAGTTCCCAGCTTGGCCCACCTCACCCAGGCTATGTCACGTCTGACTTCGCAGATTACACCTGAGAGGGAAGGCCCAGCCATCACGATGTGAGAACATTTTACAATGACGAGGAAATGCCAAACACATTTTAAAACTCATTCAGGATTAGCGTTCACCTTAAACTTGAGACTCGGAGAACGGGCTGGCAACGTGCTGTGCACAACCCTTAGTGCTCTTCTGCGACTAATATTTGGATAATTGATTGTTGGAAGCTCAGGAAGTCTCTCTCTCTCTCCAAGGATTGAAGTTAACTTCCTTATTTCTGAAGTAGGGAAGAAAATGAGGATGCCCTGCCTTTCGCTAGACTGAATACTGTCCTCCAAAAATTCACATTCACCAGGAATCCCAGAATGTGACTTTATTAGAAAATAGGGGTGGGGCATGGTGGCTCATGCCTGTAATCTTAGCACTTTGGGAGGCTGAGGCAGAAGGATCACTTGAGGTCAGGAGTTCGAGACCAGCCTGGCTAGCATGGCAAAACTCTGTCTCTACTAAAAGCATAAAAATTAGCTAGACATGGTGGCATGCACCTGTAACCCTAGCTACTTTGGAGGCTGAGGCTGAAGAATCACTTGAACCCAGGAGGCAGAGTTGCAGCAAGCTGAGATTGTGCCACTGAACTCCAGCCTGGGCAACAGAGCAAGACTCCATCTCAAAAAAAGAAAAGAAAATAGGGTCACTGCAGATATAATTACAAAGAAGTCATATTGGAATAGCGTGGACCTTAAATGGAGTAATAATGACATCCTCACGGGAAGAGAAGAAGAGACAGAGACACACAGGGGAGAAGGCCACATGAGAATGAAGGAAGAGAATGGAATGATGTGGCCACAAGCCAAGGATTGCCAGCAGCCACCAGAAGCCACAAGAGGCAAGGAAGGATTCATCCCTAGAGCCTTCAGAGGGAGCATGACCCTGCCGGGTTTCAGACATCAAGCTTCCAGAACTGGAGAGAATGACTTTCTGGTGTCCTGAGCCACCCATTTGGGGAACTTTGTTAGAACAGCCACAGCCAGCTCATGTGCTCCTGAATGCATTTCAGGCATTAATAAGCACTGTCTTGGCCGGGCAGGGTGGCTCACCCCTGTAATCCCAGCACCTTGGGAGGCTGAGGTGGGTAGATCACCTGAGGTCAAGAGCTCGAGATCAGCCTGACCAACATGGAGAGACCCCATCTCTACTAAAAATACAAAAATTAGCTGGGCGTGGTGTTGTGCACCTGTAATCCCAGCTACTTGGGAGGCTGAGGCAAGAGAATCTCTTGAACCCTGGAGGCAGAGGTTTCAGTGAGCTGAGATTGCGCCATTGCACTCCAGCCTGGGCAACAAGAGCGAAACTCCATCTCAAAAAAAAATAATAAGTACTGTCTTGACTGTGGTCATCAAAAATATTTGATTAAGGATTAGCTAGAAAGCCTGACCCTTTCACAGATGGACAGAGGGGCCAAAAGAAAATAGATTGTTTGCACTGGGGCAAGAAGGATAAGAATCCTATGGAAAAAAAAAAAAAGAGGGATTGGTTTAGTGAGTGCTGGGGAGAGGCATTTGTTTTCTTGCTTAAAAAAGAAACACAGGTTGGGTGCGGTGGCTCAAGCCTTAATCCCAGCACTCTGGGAGGCCAAGGTGGGTGGATCACCTAAGGTCAGGAGTTCGAGACCAGCCTGGCCAACACTGTGAAACCCCATCTCTACTAAAAAGCCAAAAAAAAAAAAAAAAAGAAAGAAAGAAAGAAAGAAAGCAATTAGCCAGGCATGGTTGTGGGTGCCTGTAATCCCAGCTACTTGGGAGGCTGAGGCAGAGAATCACTTGAACCTGGGAGGCGGAGGTTGCAGTGAGCCAAGATGGCTTCATTGCACTCCAGCCTAGACAACAAGAGTGAAACTCTGTCTCAAACAAAAAAAAAAGAAAGTAAAAAACATAGTTTTAAGTCCACTCAGTGGAGTTTAAAAATACATTCCCATTGTGCAGTGCTTTTGGAATCTTTTCTAAACTTCTGTTGCACATGATCTAATTTGATCTTCATAGCAACTCCCTGAGGTGGATAGGGCAGGCCTTTCTGAACACCTATTTTCTAGTTTGCATTAAAAGAACGGAATTGGCTGGGACCAGTGGCTCATGCCTATAATCCCAGCACTTTGTGATACAGAAGGGAAGTGATCGGAAGGGAAGAATGTGGTCCCTTTAAATGATATGGAAGTGAAGAAGGGAAGTACTGGGTAGAGGAGGGTGTTGTCGCTGGCTAGTGCTCCACCCAGGGCCTGTGCCCACGGACCTAGGTGAGGATGGGGATTTTTGTTTTCCTGCCCAAATGTTGCATTTCCCAAGACCACCCTGGCTGCCACACCCCCATTCTGTGCCTATAAAAACCCTGAGACCCTAGCAGGCAGACACACAGGCGGCTGGACTTCGAGAGGAGCACATCAGTGGAGGAACACATGGGTGCTGCACGTCAAGAGGAACACACCAATAGGCACCGGCACACTGCAGGCCACTGACTGGCACAACAAGCAGAGTTTGGCTGGGACAGTCAGAGAAGAGTCGGGCCACTCACCTGACTCCAGGGGAAAACCATCTTCCTTCTGGCTCCCCCATCTGCTGAGAGCTACTTCCACTCAATAAAACCTTGCACTCTCACTCCTGTAATCCCAGCACTTTGGGAGGCCAAGGCGGGCAGATCACGAGGTCAGGAGATCGAGACCATCCTGGCTAACAAAGTGAAACCCCATCTCTACTAAAAATACAAAAAAATTAGCCAGGCGTGGTGGCGGGCGCCTGTAGTCCCAGCCACTTGGGAGGCTGAGGCAGGAGAATGGCGTGAACCCAGGAGGCGGAGCTTGCAGTGAGCTGAGATCACACCGCTTCCGGTACACCAAGGCAAGAACCCCAGGACAAAGAGAGCCCTCTGTCTTTGCAATAAGGTGGGGGTCTAATTGAGCCGACTAACACAAGCTACCTACGGACGGCTAAACTAAAAGAGCACCCTGTAACACACGCCCACTGGGGCTTCAACTACAAACATTCACCCCTAGACCCTGCCATGGGGCTCCCTGCCTGTCTGTATGCTCCCCTAGAGGTTTGAGCAGTGGGGCACTGATGAAGCGAACCACACCCCCATCACATGCCCTTCGAGGGGGACAAGGGAACTTTTCCCATTTTATCTGAGGCCAAGGCAGGAGGATCGCTTGAGCCCACGAGTTTGAGACCAGCCTGCGCAACATAGCAAGACCCCATCTCTACAAAAAGAAATAAATAACCAAAAAAAAACCATTAAAAATTAGCCAGGTGTGGTGGCACACACCTGCAGTCCCAGCTACTCAGGACGCTGATGTGGAAGGACTGCTTGAGCCCAGGAGGTTGAGGCTGCAGTGAGCCAATATTGAACCACTGCACTCCAGCCTGGGTGACAGAGTGACAACCTGTTTCAACAAGAACAAAAAGAATGGAAAAAAATAACTTCTCAAATAGCTAGCAGAGGCAGATCTGGTACTCAAATGCAGGGTTTCCAGGTTTCAATTCTACTTTCTAGCAGTATTATGGAGAAACATGATCACTAATACATGAAGGAGAGGAGGTTTCAAGTTCTGGTGAAAAGACGGTAAAGAGAGGAGTTAGTTGACTAGGAGTGACTAGGAATGGGAAGAAAACGCATGACACTATTTACAGGAAAGAAGAAAAATAAGCATAGAGGTGACTGAGCGGACAGAAAGGACTTGGAAGAAGCGTGTTTGGCCCTGTCTCTGCATTTCTTCCCTTGCATTAGTAACTTCCCTGATGACTTGGATGAATCTTCTCTTCCAGGGCATCCAGTGTTCCCTTTCTGTCCACTTCTCCTTTCCCAGGGCCCATACAGTCTGGGAAAGCATGCTCTGCAGGCTTCTCATATCTTTCCTTCCTTAATCAGCCCCTAGCATCTCTATGTAACCCATACACACCTGGAGTTCCACATGCCTCAGTCTTTGCACTGCAGTGAATTCAAAGAAAGGTAGACTCTAGCTGGGCGCAGGGACTCACACCTGTAATCCCAGCACTTTGGGAGGCCGAGGCAGGCGGATCACTTGAGCCCAGGAGTTCAAGACCAGGCCTGGCCAACATGGTGAAACCCCATCTCTACTAAAAACACAAAAATTAGCTTGGCTTGGTGGTGCATGCCCAGCAGTCTCAGCTACTGGGGAGACTGAGGCAGAAGAATTGCTGGAACCCAGAAGGCAGAGGTTGCAGTGAGCTGAGATCACGCCACCGCACTCCAGCAGCCTAGGCAACAGAGCAAGGCCCAGTCTCAAAAAAACACAAAGACGAAACTAAACCAAACCAAACCAAACCAAACAAAACAAAACAAAACAAAACAAACCACACACACACACAAAAACAAAGGTAGACTGCAATAGGAAAAATTCAGTCAAAAGCAATTCAAATAATTACTCAGTCAACCCAGTTCTAGCTCAGTTCTTTATTATATATATAAACTTATTCTGTCTAGATTCCCTAGTTTTCTTTTTCTTAACTTTTTGGGTTTTTTTTTTTGAGACAGGGCCTCACTCTGCCACCCAGGCTGGAGTATAGTGGCACGATCATGGCTCACTGCAGCCTCAGCCTCCTGGGATGAAGTAGTTCTCCCACCTCAGCCTCCCAAGTAGCTGGGACTACAGGTGCATGCCACCACGCTCAGCAACTTTTTTGTATTTTTTGTAGAAACGGGGTCTCACTATGTTGCCCAGGCTGGTCTTGAACTCCTGAACTCAAGAAGTCCACCTGCCTCAGCTTCCCAAAGTGCCAAGATTACAAGCACGAGCCACTGCACCTGGCTGATTCCTTAGTTTTCTTTTTCTCTTTGCCCATTGCCTGGATTCCATAAGCAGAAGGAAAACCCGGGGGGTCACTTTGTAGGCAAGACTCTCCTCTTCAAAACGTAAATTGGTTCAACTGGTACCAAAACTGAAACGTATTTATAACTTAACATCTTTTCTTCCTACCCCTTCAATCTCTTGAGCAATGAGAAAAGGCACTGGGCTCTTTCCTTGGTGACACATAGTCTGTGCCCTCAAAGAACACTGACACCCCGGCAACATCCATTCGAAGAGCTTATCTGTACCTCCCCTCCTTTATCCCCAAGATCACTGGGCCAGAGCTCACGGAGTCATTCACAACATGATGTTTAACACCGAGAGGCTCTGGAAGTGCTCCTTCAAGACTCAGAAGAAGACCCATTGCTGAGACAATCGTGTTCTCTCTCTCTCTCTGTATAACCACCCAGAGACAAGGACTTCCGGAGACCCTGGCTTCCCTGGCTGCTGCCTCTCATTCCTGCACCTGTGGGATGAGAGTTCGAAGCTGTGCGACCTTGACCAAGTTACTTACCCTCTCTAAGCATATGTTTCCCTAAATGTGAAATAGGGATGATGGTGATGTGTTTATCTCACAGATTTGATAGAAGGATTAAATGAGAGATGCATCAAAAGCAGTGGGCACAGGGTCAATGCTCAGTGAGCTTTCTCTTATCAATAGACAGGTCTCCATGAGGACAGAAACTGGCTTCATCTCGACTGTAGCCTCAGGGCTGGCCACAGTGTCTGCACCCAGCAGGACTTCAGTAAATATCTGTTTATACACTAACCACAGACTTAGGCATAAAAGCCTTTTGGAAGAAAGTTGACCATTTCATGCACCTTCAGACTATGAAGATCAGTGATGACAACTTTAGCTTGAGAGGGTCTCAGTGCCCATTCATCACCACTGTGAAAAGGCAGAAACCAGAGCTGTGTGTTTAACTCCCAGCCCCAAAACCTGTCGGCTTTGCTTTATCACTATGAGCTTCCAATGGCATCCCTTTAGAATGGGGCCTCTCTCTCCTTCCCCAAGGCACCAGCCTTCACCCCAGACCTATCCTTGTCACCTGGTTCCTCCTCTCTGTACTCTGAGCCCATGCTGTGCTCGTCAGATAGCAACATGGGAGAATACAACAGCCCAGAATGCAGGCTGCAGAGTTAGATCCCCAGAACAGGATCTCAGCTGGCTCCATCCTTCCTCAGCTGGGCAACCGTGGCCAATGACTAGCTTTCTGTGCCTGAGTTGCTCCATCTGGGAATTGAAGATTGTCATAGTCCCTGCTTCAAAGAGTCACTGGGAGGATTAACTGAGAAAGTGCAGGGAAGGTGCTTGGAACTAAATGCTCAAAAAAAGTCCATCTGGCCAGGTGCGGTGTCTCACACCAGTAATCCCAGCACTTTGGGAGACCAAGGCAGGCGGATCACTTGAGGTCAGGAATTTAAGACCAGCCTGATCAACATGGCAAAACCCCGACTCTACTAAAAATACAAAAATTAGCCAGGCACGGTGGCAGGCACTTGTAATTCCAGCTACTTGGGAGGCTGAGGCATGAGAATCACTTGAACCTGGGAGGCAGAGGTTGCAGTGAGCTGAGATGGTGCCACTGCACTCCAGCCTGGGCAACATGAGTGAAACTCTGTCTCACAAAAAAAAAAAAAAAAAAAAAGTCCATCATTCTTACTAATGGAGGCCAAATCATCTCAGCTCTTCTTTGGATGATCAGTATGCTCCAAGCCAGTGTTATCCAATAGACCAGAGGTCCCCAGCCCCCAGACCACTGACCAGTAGTGGTCTGTGGCCTGTTAGGAACTGGGTTGCACAGAAGGAGGTGAGCAGCGGGCTAGTGAGTGAAGCTTCATCTGTATTTACAGCTGATCCCCCTGGCTGATCTCTGTCTCCTATCAGATCAGCAGTGGCATTAGATTCTCATAGGAGCACCAACCCTAGTGTGAACTGCATGTGGAAGGGATCTAGGTTGTGTGCTCCTTATGACAATCTAATGCCTGATGATCTGTCACTGTCTCCCACCACCCTGAGATGGAATTATCTAGTTGCAGGAAAACAAGCTCAGGGCTCCCACTGATTCTACATTATGGTGAGTTGTATAATGATTTCATTGTATATTATAATGTTCATAACAATAGAAATAAAGTACACAGTAAATGTAATGCACTTGAATCATCCCGAAACTTCCCCCTAAAAATCCATGGAAACTGGTCCTTGGTGCTAAAAAAAAATTGGGGACCACTGCAATAGACTATTCGGTCACTGTCCAATCAAACATTCTGCAATGGCGGACTTGCTCTACTCTGCACTGTCCAACATGGGAGCTGCTAGCCACCCACATGGGCTGTTGAGCCCTTGAAATGTGGCTGGTGAGAATGAAGAGCTGAATTTTCAATTTTCTCTTATTTTAACAAAAAAAATTTTTTTTTTTTTTGAGACAGAGTCTCATTCTATTCCCCAGGCTGGAGTGCAGTGGCACAATCTCGTCTCACTGCAACCTCCATCTCCCAGGTTCAAGCAATTCTCCTGCCTCAGCCTCCTGAGTACCTAGGATTACAGGAACCCGCCATCATGGCCAGCTAATTTTTGTATTTTTGTAGAGATGGGATTTCACCATGTTGGCCAGGCTGATCTTGAACTCCTGACTTCAGGTGATCTGCCCACCTTGGCCTCCCAAAGTGCTGGGATTACAGGTGTGAGCCACCATGCCCAGCCTTAATTCATTTCTAAATCACAAAATCTAAACAAGTGGCTAGGAGCTACCATAGTGTACAAGGCAGCTGTAGAATCACAGGAAATTGTCAATGACCCTGTCCTGCTTCAAGTTGACTTTTCCCCCTCATGGTGACACTCTAGATTCTTTCCTCTTCTCTCACATTTTTTAGATTTTCAGGCTTAGACCATGAAAATAAGTTCTGTCCTTCCAAGAAAGTAACATTCATAACACTTACTGTATACCAGGCTGATTTCAGTGCTTTACATGTATTAATTTACAACAACTCTGAGGCAGGAGCTGTGATTACACCCATTCAACAGATGAGAAAACTAAGGCACAAAGTGGTGCTGGAACTTCTCAAAGTCACACAGTTTGCAGGAGACAGAACTCGGATTTGAACTCACTTTGGGTTCAGCAACTCACAGCTCTCACCTATGACATAATATTACTTCTGTGGTCAAAACACTTAGACCTGGATTTCACAGGAATCTTGTGCTTACCTGGCTGCTAGGGAGGTTTTCATCATCTTCCTTATCTCACAGTTCAAAACCCAGGGACTCCATGCTCTTGCTCTGGTGACCGTTCACTGGCAGGAGGATTCTGGGAAGGTTCTCCTTTTCTGTCATTTTTCTTATTCGTGGTTTTTTGTTTCATTGGTGTTTATCTGCAGAACTTTGTTTCCTTCTGCTCAATTCATAATCAGAGTGCTTTTCCTCTTGGCTGAATCCATAAGTGTTTATGCAAAAAGAGGTTGGGCATAGAGCCAGGCGACTGATGACACCCGGCTCATCTGGCAAGTGGATATCAAATTGTTGTGTCTCGTTCTGCCATTCCCGGCTCCTGCTGTGGGGCTGGGCCATCTGCCAACTCTGCAAGGAGCTGGCGGGAAACCGCTGCCAGCAGAGTGAACCCACGGCCCGGGTCAGTCCGCCTCGGCATAGCACTCCAGCTGGCCCCCAGTGCCTTTTGGGGACACATCTGTATTGCCAGGCAGGGCTGTGGGAGGGCCGCCTGCCTCCTGTCCATCACAAGGAAAACCTAACCTTGTCCTGCTTCCCTTCCAGGCAGCCTATGTGGAGATTGCTGCATTAACCTTTAATATGGCTAAAATTTTTCCTTCAATGACAGTAATGCTGCTAGAACCCATCCAGATACCCAGGAACTAATGTGCCTTGGCAGATGATGCTGGAAAGATGGGATTCCCGGCAGCCTTTGCATCCCTTGCTCACAGCCCACGAGTGTCTCCACCGTCCAGCAGGGCTTCTCTCACGGTCAGGGCAGAAAGAGAGAGAGTCTATCTGGAACAGGCTCGGATTTCAAATGAGTGTCCCCGATAATTCAACATGATCGATGGCTGAGGTCTTTCACCAAGTTCAGGAGTTCTAGTTCTCAGAGAGAGGCAGCCAGCCATGACTGTAAGACCTGGGCAAACCATACAAACTAGACGGCAGGTCTCACCCCTCCCCAGAGAGCTCCAGAGACTATCAAAGAGTGAAACAGCAGAGGGATGGTCTGGGTGGGGTCATCGTGGCCGACAAGGGTCTGTGACAGCACCTTGTTAGGCTACCCCCAAGAGGAAATTTGGAGAGAGGGTGGGAGGGCAGCTCTCAGTGCAAGCCAAGTCTCCTGGAAAATAACTTTCAAACTTTGGAGGATTGTGAGCAAGATGGGACCAGCAACTTCTACCTAAAAGAATGTTAATAGCAAGATAACTCATCCTAATATTGGTCCAAGCTAGGTCTTTATTATGCATCATAAAGGCTCTGAGAATAACCATCTAACCTCCAAAAGGGCTGCGGGCTTTGAAGAATCTCAGGCAACTTGCTTCCTTCTGCTCAAGGACTCCCCTGGAGCACAGCAAAGCAAGGAAACACTTAGAGCCAAGCTTGAGTTCTGAATTTCAAACACAGGGAGTCCATCTCTTTCTACCCAATTGTTCCCTAGAATCAGTAACTAACTCCTTCCCCTTAATGGCACGTACTTCCTACCAAAGCACAAACGTGATGGGCTGTCCATGAGCCTCCCACAAACATGTGCACCTTTTGACATAAATTCTGTCAGCCAAAGAGACCAGACAAAATGCAAAACCAAAGTGGAGCCTTTCCTTGAATTATAGGTTCTAAAGAGTTTTGGACTCTCTACAAAACCCAAGAGTTAGGAATGGCCTGTAAGAAGCACCAGCCCTTGTTTTAAGGAGGCAATTTAAGAATAATAGCCATGCTGATGCCACACTACGCTAAGGGAGAATAATGAACCTAATAAAACTAGCGATTTTCCAATTGCTTTTGCTGCTGGAAACATTGATTATGCTAATTAAAGGGTAGAATAGTAAATACTCACTCTTTTGCATCCAATTAAGTGTTCAGATTATTTCTCAGAAGTGTTTGTTGAAAATAATCATGGGTCCCAAATAAACAGATTCAATTGTGGTGCGGTACATGTGTGAGTGTGTGTGTGTGTGTGTGTGTGTGTGCGCGCACACATGTGTCTTTCTGGAGCTCATTTTATGGAGATCCCGCATAGCTCCCCAAATTCCTATGAGACCAAATAAGAAAAATCACAGTTTCCTAAGACTACAGCTTGGGATATCCTTGGAAAAGGTGTGTATTGAGAACACAGCATACGGAAACTATTTCACATTGGCAATATCTGTGATTTAACATTGCAAACATCAGAAATACAACTTGTTCTTCAGAGCCACCTAAGTCCCTCATAATGGCAATATTAGCTTCTTCTAAATAATAAATTAGCCAGTCAAACTATGTTCTACAACATGTTAGAAGTGTCGTCCTTCTAGTCAATGTCACATTTCAAGGCAAAGTCGATTTATATGTAAGTTAACAAAAGTGCTGTCACTAAAAATTGAGAATTATGTCTAATGCCAATCAGAAATGGAATAAATAAGTATTAGAGGATTTGCAAGTGAAAGCAACCATAGAAATGCTTTATCAGGAAGGAAAATGTATTACCTGCAGAGGTTACAGAGAAGACTCTAGAACCCAGAAAAGAAAGAATCTCTAAATATTTCCATTAAGTTAATCAAGAGTGGCTGGGTACGGTGGCTCATGTTTGTAATCCCAGGACTTTGGGAGGCCAAATCGGGCAGATCACAGGGTCAGGGGTTTGAGACCAGCCTGGCCAACATGGCAAAACCCTGTCTCTATTAAAAATACAAAAAATTAGCCGGGCGTGGTGGTGTGCACCTGTAATCCCAGCTACCCGGGAGGCTGAGGCAGGAGAATTGCTTTAATCCAGAAGGCAGAGGTTGCAGCGAGCTGAGATGGCACCATTGCACTCCAGCCTGGGTGACAGATCAGGGCTCCGTTTTGAAAAAAAAAAAAGAAAGAAAGTTAATCAGGAGTGAGAATAGGATGAGATTTTCACCCACAAAAGGAGATGAGATTCATGCATTCTTTCAACATGCATTCCATCAATAGTGAGCACCTGCTCTGAGCTAGGCCCGTTCTAGGTCCCAGGAAATGGGTAACCAACCAGACATGGTCCCTGATTTGGAGCTCACATTTTAGAGCAGCTGAATGGACAGTAAACAAGTAAGCAAATTAAGATCATCTTAAATTGGGGGAAGTTCTTTAGAGAAGCACTTCCACAAAGCTGAGTTGCATCATAGACTATGACTGCCAGGTGGTAGGGAAGGTAATATCTCACCTGCCTGTGGATAGCAGAGCTTCTGAAGCCTTGCAAAGTATTTAGTACTAAGATATCTGTCTTAGGTCAAGTTCCCGAAAAACAGAGCCTGAGGCACGGATTGAGTGCATGTAATTCATTCAGGACTCTCAGGAGATAGGAGTAAGGAAAACAGGATATGGCAGGGAAGGAGCTAAGTGAGATGTGGTCTCAGCTGGAGACTGGCTCCAGTCTGATCTCACAGGGAGCTCCAGAGGATGAACTGCACCACCATGTTATCCCAGCCTGAGATCTTTTGTTCTCCTGTGTCAGCCGGTCCCTGGCCAAGGGCTGCAGACTCTCTTGGGGCCCCAGCAGACTGGAGGAGAAGCAGCATGGTCTGCGGTCTACTCTTTTGTGCACACCAACCCACCTCTTCCCCAGCTGACACTGCTGGAGGAGGAGAGGGAAGAGATATCATCCCCTCCTATGGCAACCTGTGGGATAGCAATGGCCCTTTTCCTGTTGGGTGTAATCTGCTGCCATCTCTTGCTGTCTGCAGCCTGACACAGAAGGGTGAAGGTCACCAGGTTCCACTGACAGTGGTCTTTGTCTCAAGCAGCAACCCTAGGACAGTGGCTCCCTTGCAAGATTCAGCCACATCTCATGACTGTCTGCAACACACCCCATGCCTCTGATGGAAGGAACCCAATGCCCCATGCTGCACCCATTTCTGCCAGACTGGGGTCCCTGATCTCAATTTCCCTCTGCAGTCCCCAACTCTGGGGTCTGCAGACACATTTCAGATCCATCCTTAGTACCTCCCAGGAGGCAGAAGCCAGAGGAAATAATCCTTGCCCCAATGCACCTGACCATGCCACTTCACTGTATGCTCTTTCTCCCTCTCCAGGAAAAATCAAGCTTGTTGAATACTTACCAATGTGCCCACGTACATTTAGTCCCCACAACCACTTCATGGGACAGCATTATCATCCCCAAGTTACAGATGAGGAAATTGAAGACAGCATTTATATAACATGCATCTAAGTGGTGGACAAAGGATCTAACCAGGCAGTGTGGCACCAGAGCACACTTTTTTGTTCTTTAGGGAGATGGGATCTCTCTCTGTCCCTCAAACTGGAGTGCAGTGGCCTGATCATAGCTCACTGCAGCCTTGAACTCCCGGGCTCCAGCAATCTTCCTGCCTCAGCCTCCTGAGTAGCTGGGACTACAGGCATTCACCACCAACCCAGCTAATTTTTAAAAATCATTTTTCTAGAGATAGGATCTGATCCCAAACTCCTGACTTCAAGCGATCCTCCTGCCTCAGCCTCCCAAAGTGCTGGGATTACAGTTGTAAGCCCCTGCGCCCAGCCCAGAGCACACTTTTTTTTTTTTTGAGATGGAGTCTCACTCTGTCACCCAGGCTGGAGTGCAGTGGCAAGATCTCGGCCCTGTGGGGAACAGCAAGAGAGATCAGATTGTTACTGTGTCTGTGTAGAAAGAAGTAGGCATAGGAGACTCCATTTTGTTATGTACTAAGAAAAATTCTTCTGCCTTGAGATTCTGTGACCTTACCCCCAACCCCGTGCTCTCTGAAACATGTGCTGTGTCAACTCAGAGTTGAATGGATTAAGGGCGGTGCAAGATGTGCTTTGTTAAACAGATGCTTGAAGGCAGCATGCTCCTTAAGAGTCATCACCACTCCCTAATCTCAAGTACCCAAGGACACAAAAACTGCAGAAGGCCGCAGGGACCTCTGCCTAGGAAAGCCAGGTATTGTCCAAGGTTTCTCCCCATGTGATAGTCTGAAATATGGCCTCATGGGAAGGGAAAGACCTGACTGTCCCCCAGCCCGACACCCGTAAAGGGTCTGTGCTGAGGAGGATTAGTAAAAGAGGAAAGAATGCCTCTTGCAGTTGAGACAAGAGGAAGGCATCTGTCTCCTGCCTGTCCCTAGGCAATGGAATGTCTCAGTATAAAACCTGATTGTATGCTCCATCTACTGAGATAAGGAAAAACCGCCTTAGGGCTGGAGGTGGGACCTGCGGGCAGCAATACTGCTTTGTAAAGCATTGAGATGTTTATGTGTATGCATATCTAAAAGCACAGCACTTAATCCTTTACATTGTCTATGATGCAAAGACCTTTGTTCACGTGTTTGTCTGCTGACCCTCTCCCCACAATTGTCTTGTGACCCTGACACATCCCCCTCTTCGAGGAACACCCACAGGTGTGGAGGGGCAACCCACCCCTACATCTGGCGCCCAACGTGGGGCTTTTCTCTAGGGTGAAGGTACGCTCGAGCGTGGTCATTGAGGACAAGTCGACGAGAGATCCCAAGTACGTCTACAGTCAGCCTTACGGTAAGCTTGTGTGCTCAGAAGAAGCTAAGGTGATAATGGGGCAAACTAAAAGTAAAATTAAAAGTAAATATGCCTCTCATCTCAGCTTTATTAAAATTCTTTTAAAAAGAGGGGGAGTTAAAGTATCTACAAAAAATCTAATCAAGCTATTTCAAATAATAGAACAATTTTGCCCATGGTTTCCAGAACAAGGAACTTTAGATCTAAAAGATTGGAAAAGAATTGGTAAGGAACTAAAACAAGCAGGTAGGAAGGGTAATATCATTCCACTTACAGTATGGAATGATTGGGCCATTATTAAAGCAGCTTTAGAACCATTTCAAACAGAAGAAGATAGCGTTTCAGTTTCTGATGCCCCTGGAAGCTGTTTAATAGATTGTAATGAAAAGACAAGGAAAAAATCCCAGAAAGAAACGGAAAGTTTACATTGCGAATATGTAGCAGAGCCGGTAATGGCTCAGTCAACGCAAAATGTTGACTATAATCAATTACAAGAGGTGATATAACCTGAAACGTTAAAATTAGAAGGAAAAGGTCCAGAATTAGTGGGGCCATCAGAGTCTAAACCATGAGGCACAAGTCCTCTTCCAGCAGGTCAGGTGCCTGTAACATTACAACCTCAAATGCAGGTTAAAGAAAATAAGACCCAACCGCCAGAAGCTTATCAATACTGGCCGCCGGCTGAACTTCAGTATCGGCCACCCCCAGAAAGTCAGTATGGATATCCAGGAATGCCCCCAGCACCACAGGGCAGGGCGCCATACCCTCAGCTGCCCACTAGGAGACTTAATCCTATGGCACCACCTAGTAGACAGGGTAGTGAATTACATGAAATTATTGATAAATCAAGAAAGGAAGGAGATACTGAGGCGTGGCAATTCCCAGTAACATTAGAACCGATGCCAACTGGAGAAGGAGCCCAAGAGGGAGAGCCTCCCACAGTTGAGGCCAGATACAAGTCTTTTTCGATAAAAATGCTAAAAGATATGAAAGAGGGAGTAAAACAGTATGGACCCAACTCCCCTTATATGAGGACATTATTAGATTCCATTGCTCATGGACATAGACTCATTCCTTATGATTGGGAGATTCTGGCAAAATCGTCTCTCTCACCCTCTCAATTTTTACAATTTAAGACTTGGTGGATTGATAGAGTACAAGAACAGGTCCGAAGAAATAGGGCTGCCAATCCTCCAGTTAACATAGATGCAGATCAACTATTAGGAACAGGTCAAAATTGGAGTACTATTAGTCAACAAGCATTAATGCAAAATGAGGCCATTGAGCAAGTTAGAGCTATCTGCCTTAGAGCCTAGGAAAAAATCCAAGACCCAGGAAGCGCCTGCCCCTCATTTAATACAGTAAGACAAGGTTCGAAAGAGCCCTACCCTGATTTTGTGGCAAGGCTCCAAGATGTTGCTCAAAAGTCAATTGCCGATGAAAAAGCCCGTAAGGTCATAGTGGAGTTGATGGCATATGAAAACGCCAATCCTAAGTGTCAATCAGCCATTAAGCCATTAAAAGGAAAGGTTCCTACAGGATCAGATGTAATCTCAGAATATGTAAAAGCCTGTGATGGAATCGGAGGAGATATGCATAAAGCTATGCTTATGGCTCAAGCAATAACAGGAGTTGTTTTAGGAGGACAAGTTAGAACATTTAGAAGAAAATGTTATAATTGTGGTCAAATTGGTCACTTAAAAAAGAATTGCCCAGTCTTAAACAAACAGAATATAACTATTCAAGCAACTACAACAGGTAGAGAGCCACCTGACTTATGTCCAAGATGTAAAAAAGGAAAACATTGGGCTAGTCAATGTCATTCTAAATTTGATAAAAATAGGCAACCATTGTCAGGAAACGAGCAAAGAGGCCAGCCTCAGGCCCCACAACAAACTGGGGCATTCCCAATTCAGCCATTTGTTCCTCAAAGTTTTCAGGGACAACAACCCCCCCTGTCCCAAGTGTTTCAAGGAATAAGCCAGTTACCACAATACAACAATTGTCCCCCGCCACAAGCAGCAGTGCAGCAGTAGATTTATGTACTATACAAGCAGTCTCTCTGCTTCCAAGGGAGTCCCCACAAAAAATCCCCACAGGGGTATATGGCCCACTGCCTGAGGGGACTGTAGGACTAATCTTAGGAAGATCAAGTCTAAATCTAAAAGGAGTTCAAATTCATATTAGTGTAGTTGATTCAGACTATAAAGGCGAAATTCAATTGGTTATTAGCTCTTCAATTCCTTGAGGTGCCAGTCCAGGAGACAGGATTGCTCAATTATTACTCCTGCCATATATTAAGGGTGGAAATAGTGAAATAAAAAGAATAGGAGGGTTTAGAAGCACTGATCCAACAGGAAAGGCTGCATATTAGGCAAGTCAGGTCTCAGAGAACAGACCTGTGTGTAAGGCCATTATTCAAGGAAAACAGTTTGAAAGGTTAGTAGACACTGGAGCAGATGTCTCCATCATTGCTTTAAATCAGTGGCCAAAAAATTGGCCTAAACAAAAGGCTGTTACAGGACTTGTTGGCATAGGCACAGCCTCAGAAGTGTATCAAAGTACTGAGATTTTACATTGCTTAGGGCCAGATAATCAAGAAAGTACTGTTCAGCCAATGATTACTTCAATTCCTCTTAATCTGTGAGGTTGAGATTTATTACAACAATGGGGTGCAGAAATCACCATGCCCGCTCCATTATATAGCCCCACGAGTCAAAAAATCATGACCAAGATAGGATATATACCAGGAAAAGGACTAAGGAAAAATGAAGATGGCATTAAAGTTCCAGTTGAGGCTAAAATAAATCAAAAAAGAGAAGGAATAGGGTATCCTTTTTAGGGGCGGCCACTGTAGAGCCTCCTAAACCCATACCATTAACTTGGAAAACAGAAAAATTGGTGTAGGTAAATCAGTGGCCGCTACCAAAACAAAAACTGGAGGCTTTACATTTATTAGCAAATGAACAGTTAGAAAAAGGTCATATTGAGCCTTCATTCTTGCCTTAGAATTCTCCTGTGTTTGTAATTCAGAAGAAATCAGGCAAATGGCGTATGTTAACTGACTTAAAGGCCATAAATGCCGTAATTCAACCCATGAGGCCTCTCCAACCTAGGTTGCCCTCTCCGGCCATGATCCCAAAAGACTGGCCTTTAATTATAATTGATCTAAAGGATTGCTTTTTTACCATCCCTCTGGTGGAGCAAGATTGTGAAAAATTTGCCTTTACTATACCAGCCATAAATAATAAAGAACCAGCCACCAGGTTTCAGTGGAAAGTGTTACCTCAAGGAATGCTTAATAGTCCAACTATTTGTCAGACTTTTGTAGGTCGAGCTCTTCAACCAGTTAAAGAAAAGTTTTCAGACTGTTATATTATTCATTATATTGATGATATTTTATGTGCTGCAGAAACGAAAGATAAATTAATTGACTGTTATACATTTCTGCAAGCAGAAGTTGCCAATGCAGGTCTGGCAATAGCATCTGATAAGATCCAAACCTCTACTCCTTTTCATTATTTAAGAATGCAGATAGAAAATAGAAAAATTAAGCCACAAAAAATAGAAATAAGAAAAGACACATTAAAAACACTAAATGATTTTCAAAAATTGCTAGGAGATATTAATTAGATTCGGCCAACTCTAGGCATTCCTACTTATGCCATGTCAAATTTGTTCTCTATCTTAAGAGGAGACTCAGACTTAAATAGTAAAAGAATGTTAACCCCAGAGGCAACAAAAGAAATTAAATTAGTGGAAGAAAAAATTCAGTCAGCGCAAATAAATAGAATAGATCCCTTAGCCCCACTCCATCTTTTAATTTTTGCCACTGCACATTCTCCAACAGGCATCATTATTCAAAATACTGATCTTGTGGAGTGGTCATTCCTTCCTCACAGTACAGTTAAGACTTTTACATTGTACTTGGATCAAATAGCTACATTAATTGGTCAGACAAGATTATGAATAATAAAATTATGTGGAAATGACCCAGACAAAATAGTTGTCCCTTTAACCAAGGAACAAGTTAGACAAGCCTTTATCAATTCTGGTGCATGGCAGATTGGTCTTGCTAATTTTGTAGGAATTATTGATAATCATTACCCAAAAACAAAAATCTTCCAGTTCTTAAAATTGACTACTTGGATTCTACCTAAAATTACCAGATGTGAACCTTTAGAAAATGCTCTAACAGTATTTACTGATGGTTCCAGCAATGGAAAAGCAGCTTACACAAGGCCGAAAGAACGAGTAATCAAAACTCCATATCAACCGACTCAAAGAGCAAAGTTGGTTGCAGTCATTACAGTGTTACAAGATTTTGACCAACCTATCAATATTATATCAGATTCTGCATATGTAGTACAGGTTACAAAGGATGTTAAGACAGCTCTAATTAAATATAGCATGGATGATCAGTTAAACCAGCTATTCAATTTATTACAACAAATTGTAAGAAAAAGAAATTTCCCATTTTATATTACTCATATTCGAGCACACACTAATTTACCAAGGCCTTTGACTAAAGCAAATGAACAAGCTGACTTACTGGTATCATCTGCATTCATAAAAGCACAAGAACTTCATGCTTTGACTCATGTAAATGCAGCAGGATTAAAAAACAAATTTGATGTCACATAGAAACAGGCAAAAGATATTGTACAACATTGCACCCAGTGTCAAATCTTACACCTGCCCACCCAAGAGGCAGGAGTTAATCCCAGAAGTCTGTGTCCTAATGCATTATGGCAAATGGATGTCACGCATGTTCCTTCATTTGGAAGATTATCATATGTTCATGTAACAGTTGATACTTATTCACATTTCATATAGGCAACTTGCCAAACAGGAGAAAATACTTCCCATGTTAAAAAACATTTATTGTCTTATTTTGCTGTAATAGGAGTTCCAGAAAAAATCAAAACTGACAATGGACAAAGATATTGTAGTAAAGCTTTCCAAAAGTTCTTAAGTCAGTGGAAAATTTCACATACAACAAGAATTCCTTATAATTCCCAAGGACAGGCCATAGTTGAAAGAACTAATAGAACACTCAAAACTCAATTAGTTAAACAAAAAGAAGGGGGAGACAGTAAGGAGTGTACCACTCCTCAGATGCAACTTAATCTAGCACTCTATACTTTACATTTTTTAAACATTTATAGAAATTAGACTACTACTTCTGCAGAACAACATCTTACTGCTAAAAAGAACAGCCCACATGAAGGAAAACTAATTTGGTGGAAAGATAATAAAAATAAGACATGGGAAATAAGGAAGGTGATAATGTGGGGGAGAGGTTTTGCTTGTGTTTCACCAGGAGAAAATCAGCTTCCTGTTTGGATACCCACTAGACATTTGAAGTTCTACAATGAACTCATCAGAGATGCAAAGAAAAGCACATCCGTGGAGACGGAGACACCACAATCGAGCACCGTTGACTCACAAGATGAACAAAATGGTGACGTCAGAAGAAGAGATGAAGTTGCCATCCACCAAGAAGGCAGAGCCACCGACTTGGGCACAACTAAAGAAGCTGACACAGTTAGCTACAAAATATCTAGAGAACACAAAGGTGACACAAACCCCAGAGAGTATGCTGCTTGCAGCCTTGATGATTGTATCAATGGTGGTAAGTCTCCCTATGCCTGCAGGAGCAGCTGCAGCTAACTATACCTACTGGGCCTAAGTGCCTTTCCCGCCCTTAATTTGGGCAGTCACATGGATGGATAATCCTATAGAAGTATATGTTAATGATAGTGTATGGGTACCTGGCCCCACAGATGATCGCTGCCCTGCCAAACCTGAGGAAGAAAGGATGATGATAAATATTTCCATTGGGTATCGTTATCCTCCTATTTGCCTAGGGAGAGCACCAGGATGTTTAATGCCTGCAGTCCAAAATTGGTTAGTAGAAGTACCTACTGTCAGTCCCATCAGTAGATTCACTTATCACATGGTAAGCGGGATGTCACTCAGGCCACAGGTAAATTATTTACAAGACTTTTCTTATCAAAGATCATTAAAATTTAGACCTAAAAGGAAACCTTGCCTCAAGGAAATTCCCAAAGAATCAAAAAATACAGAAGTTTTAGTTTAGGAAGAATGTGTGGCCAATAGTGCGGTGATATTACAAAACAATGAATTCGGAACTATTATAGATTAGGCACCTCGAGGTCAATTCTACCACAATTGCTCAGGACAAACTCAGCCGTGTCCAAGTGCACAAGTGAGTCCAGCTGTTGATAGCGACTTAACAGAAAGTTTAGACAAACATAAGCATAAAAAATTGCAGTCTTTCTACCCTTAGGAATGAGGAGAAAAAGGAATCTCTACCCCAAGACCAAAAATAATAAGTCCTGTTTCTGGTCCTGAACATCCAGAATTATGGAGGCTTACTGTGGCCTCACACCACATTAGAATTTGGTCTGGAAATCAAACTTTAGAAACAAGAGATCATAAGCCATTTTATACTATCGACCTAAATTCCAGTCTAACACTTCCTTTACAAAGTTGCGTAAAGCCCCCTTATATGCTAGTTGTAGGAAATATAGTTATTAAACCAGACTCCCAGACTATAACCTGTGAAAATTGTAGATTGCTTACTTGCATTGATTCAACTTTTAATTGGCAACACCGTATTCTGCTAGTGAGAGCAAGAGAGGGCGTGTGGATCCCTGTGTCCATGGACCGACCGTAGGAGGCCTCGCCATGCGTCTATATTTTGACTGAAGTATTAAAAGGTGTTTTAAATAGATCCAAAAGATTCATTTTTACTTTAATTGCAGTGATTATAGGATTAATTGCAGTCACAGCTACGGCTGCTGTAGCAGAAGTTGCATTGCACTCTTCTGTTCAGTCAGTAAACTTTGTTAATGATTGGCAAAAAAATTCTACAAGATTGTGGAATTCACAATCTAGTATTGATCAAAAATTGGCAAATCAAATTAATGATCTTAAAAAAACTGTCATTTGGATAGGAGACAGACTCATGAGCTTAGAACATCGTTTCACGTTACAATGTGACTGGAATACGTCAGATTTTTGTATTACACCCCAAATTTATAATGAGTCTGAGCATCACTAGGACATAGTTAGACGCCATCTACAAGGAAGAGAAGATAATCTCACTTTAGACATTTCCAAATTAAAAGAACAAATTTTTGAAGCATCAAAAGCCCATTTAAATTTAGTGCCAGGAACTGAGGCAATTGCAGGAGTTGCTGATGGCCTCGCAAATCTTAACCCTGTCACTTAAGACCATCGGAAGTACTACAATTATAAATCTCATATTAATCCTTGTGTGCCTGTTTTGTCTGTTGTTAGTCTGCAGCTGTACCCAACAGCTCCGAAGAGACAGCGACCATCGAGAACAGGCCATGATGACGATAGTGGTTTTGTCGAAAAGAAAAGGGGGAAATGTGGGGAAAAGCAAGAGAGATCAGATTGTTACTGTGTCTGTGTAGAAAGAAGTAGACATAGGAGACTCCATTTTGTTATGTACTAAGAAAAATTCTTCTGCCTTGAGATTCTGTGACCTTACCTCCAATCCCGTGCTCTCTGAAACATGTGCTGTGTCAACTCAGAGTTGAATGGATTAAGGGCGGTGCAAGATGTGCTTTGTTAAACAGATGCTTGAAGGCAGCATGCTCCTTAAGAGTCATCACCACTCCCTAATCTCAAGTACCCAAGCACACAAAAACTGCGGAAGGCCGCAGGGACCTCTGCCTAGGAAAGCCAGGTATTGTCCAAGGTTTCTCCCCATGTGATAGTCTGAAATATGGCCTCGTAGGAAAGGAAAGACCTGACTGTCCCCCAGCCCGACACCCGTAAAGGGTCTGTGCTGAGGAGGATTAGTAAAAGAGGAAAGAATGCCTCTTGCAGTTGAGACAAGAGGAAGGCATCTGTCTCCTGCCTGTCCCTAGGCAATGGAATGTCTCAGTATAAAACCCGATTGTATGCTCCATCTACTGAGATAAGGAAAAACCGCCTTAAGGCTGGAAGTAGGACCTGCAGGCAGCAATACTGCTTTGTAAAGCATTAAGATGTTTATGTGTATGCATATCTAAAAGCACAGCACTTAACCCTTTACATTGTCTATGATGCAAAGACCTTTGTTCACGTGTTTGTCTGCTGACCCTCTCCCCACAATTGTCTTGTGACCCTGACACATCCCCCTCTTCGAGGAACACCCACAGGTGTGGAAAGGCAACCCACCCCTACAGGCCCAGAGCACAATTTTAACCACCATATCATTCTGCCTCTGGGTAGGTCAGTCAAGCTCTGTAGCTGATCAGATGCCTGTAGAGAGAAGGAGACATCAGTCTCCCCTTCTTCCAAACACCCCCAAATTTTACAAGTGATTTTCTCAGATCCCTCAGCATCAGGAATGGGGATGAACAGGGCAGCCTGTCCCTTTCCCAACAGCCCAGCAGATATCCCAAGATTATATCTCATTGGCTCTGACTAGGACATGAGCCCAAACTGAACCAGTTGCTGTAGCCATGGCATGCAGCATCCTCTGTCCTCTGGCCAGGCCAGAGCCACATCCCACTTCTGGATCCTCGAGTTGAGTCAATACATCTAGAACCAGGCACGGACTGAAGCTCAAGGAGGAGTCAGAGTAATGAGACCCAGCCCACTGTGTAGTGGGTGCTGAGCAGGAAAGCATTCATCACTCACTGCACACACCAGGGAAGGCTTGCGGTGGCTTAGTCCCACCTGGGGTCAAAGAAAAGATTGCCTGCTTTGTGCCAAAATGTGATACCCAACACTGTATCTTAAAGCTAGCTGGCTTTGTAATCCCAGCTACTTGGGAGGCTGAGGCAGGAGAATCACTTGAATCCAGGAGGCAGAGGTTGCAGTGAGCCAAGATCACGCCATTGCACTCCAGCCTGGGTGACAAGAGAGAAATTCTGTTTCCAAAAAAAAAAAAAAGCTAGTTGGCTTAATCCTCGCAAAGATGCCATCTACTTTTTGGCATTCTACAGGTAGAAACACTGAGACACTGGAAAATGCTAAAACTCACCACCAGCCAGGAGCGGTGTCTCACACCTGTAATCCCAGTACTTTGAGAGGCTGAGGCAGAATTACTTGAACCCAGGAGTTCAGGACCAGCCTGGGCAAATTAGCGAGACCTCATCTCTACAAACACTAAAAAAAAAAAAAAAAATTAGGGCTAGGTGCGGTGGCTCACACATGTAATCCCAGCACTTTGGGAGGCCAAGGCAGGTGGATCACTTCAGCCCAGGGGTTCGAAACCAGCCTAGCCAACACGACAAAACTCTATCTCAACTAAAAATACAAAACTTAGCTGGGCATAGTGGCACGTGTCCATAATCCCAGCTACTTGGGAGGCTGAGGCAAGAGAATTGCTTGAACCCAGGAGTCAGAAGTTGCAGCGAGCTGAGATCGTGCCACTGCACTCCAGCCTAGGTGAGAGAGTGACACCGTGTCTCAAAAAAAAAAAAAAAAAAGGTATGGTGGTACATGCCTGTGGCCCCAGCTACACAAGAGGCTGAGGTGGGAGGATCGCTTAAGCCCAGGAGTTCAAGGGTGCAATGAGCTATGATTGTACCACTGCACCACTATATATACACACATATATATGTGTATGTATATAGGTATGTCTATATATACACATATCTATACATATGTGTGTGTATATATATGTGTGTATATATATAAAAAACACACATGCACGGATTCACCACCACCAACTCAGAAATTACCGTCTCCCTCTATTCTAAGGAATCATTTTTCATTTTGCCATCTCTGAAGTTGGAATACACCTTACAATCACTGGAATGTCACGGTCTCGTTGGCAGCATTTTTCTGCTTAGTAGCCCATAAAATAATAGCACATCTTGTAACTAACAGTGTTGTAGATGCTATGAGATCCTGGGGAAGCCCAGAATCTAACTCCACCTTGTCTGACTCCAAAGACCACATATTTTCTACGTCTTTGGACTGGGGTACAAATGTAGACAACTCGAGCTTTGCTGATTGTGAGAAAGGTATGAGAAATGGCCCTGATGGAATTTTCTTCTTGTACTTGCAGGGGAACAAAGCAGCATCATCCCACTATTCCAGGGGAGGTGCTAAATATGAGGGTGAGGCTGTCAAGCGGTCCCTGGTGGAGTCCTACACTCACCCGAACAGCAAGGAGACAGAGCGGAGGGAGAACATCGATACCGTATTGAACTGGTTCACCAAGGAAGAATTTGACTTTGTGACTCTGTACTACAGAGAGCCAGATAACATGGGACATCGATTCAGGCCAGAGGCAGAGAACAGGAAGTTGATGATTCAGCAAATCAACAGGACCATCGGGTATCTGGTGGGAGCCACTGAGAAGCACAGCCTGCAGAGCACCTCAGCGTCATCATCACATGAGACCATGGGATGACCACCGTGAAGAAGAGACCCAATGTCAACAAGATCCCTTGTCCAACTACATCAAGTTCAGGGACTGTGTCAAGTTTGATATTGTGGGCTACGGTGGCTTTGGGATGCCCCTAACCAAATTGGGGCAAGAGGAAGCCCTTTACCAGGCACTGAAGAATGTGCACCCTGACCTCCACGTCTACAAGAAGGAGTTTCCAGAAGACTTCCATCTCGCTAAACATGACCAAGTTCTGCCAATCATGATGTATGCCAACTGTGGTTACAGTATCAATGGGGTAAGTTCATTCTAAAATGAATAAAGTCACTTTGGAACTAGGAGACAACCATTAGGGAAGGGTGGTTCTGCAAAAATCAAACATAAGTGCACAGCCAGGCACGGTGGGTATCACCTGAGGTCAGGAGTTTGAGACAAGCCTGGCCAACATGGTGAAACCCCATCTCTACTAAAAATACAAAAATTAGCCAGGCGTGGTGGCGTGCATCTGTAGTTCCAGCTACTCTGGAGGCTGAGGCAGGAGAATCGCTTGAACCTGGGAGGCAGAGGTTGCAGTGAGCCAAGATCATGCTACTGCACTCCAGTCTGGGCAACAGAGTGAGACCCTGTCTCAAAAAAATATAATATAATAAAACAAAACAAAACTAAATAAAATAAAATAAAATAAGTGCACACACTACGAGTTGTAGCCCACAGGGTCCTAAATGTTCCCCACCCCCCGCCCAACCAATGCTGCCCCAAATTACCATTATACAAGATTAATGACCAATTCAACTTGACAAGGCTGATTTAAAAATAAAAATAAGGCTGGCCATGGTGGTTCACACCTGTAATCTCAGTGCTTTGGGAGGCCAAGACAGGAGGATTGCTTAAAGCGAGGAGTTCAAGACCAGCCCGGGCAACATAAGGAGACCCCATCTCTATAAAAAACAAACAAATAAATAAATAGCCAGACATGGCGATGCATGCCTGTAGTCCCAGCTACTCAGGAGGCTGAGGTGGCAGGATTTCTTGAGCCCAGGAGGTCAAGGCTGCAGTAAGCTGTGATTGCACCACTGCACTCCAGCTTGAGCAACAGAGCAAGACCCCGTCTCTAAGAAATAAACAAATAATAAAAAATAAACACCAACTTCATTATTCAAAATTGTGCATAGTGCTTCACTAAACATTGAATAGCAGTGCTTTCATTTTTGTCTTCCCAACAACCCTATAAAATAGATGTTCTTAGTTCCACCATTTTAAAGAAGAAATCAAAACCTAGAAAGAAGTGACTTGAGATTAAAAATGGAAGGTTGGGCTGGGTGCAGCGGCTCACACCTGTAATCCCAGCACTTTAGAAGGCTAAGGTCGGTAGATTGCTTGAGCCCAGGAGTTTGAGACCAGCCTAGGCAACACAGTGAAACACCATCTCTACAAAAAATGCAAAAAAATGTAGCTGGGCACAGTGGCACGTGCCTGTGGTCCCAGCAACTCAGGAGGCTGAGGTGGGAGAATTGCTTGAGCCTGGGGGTGTTGAGGCTGCAGTGAGCCATGATCACGCCACTGTAAGATAGGAGGCAGGACTTGACTCCACAGGCAGGGCTTGGACACCAGACCAAATTGAGGACTAGCTAAAACAGGGCTGGGACAGAAGAAGCTTTCCATCAGACATGCTCACCAGTGTGCCATGTGAGTTTACTATTGCCATGGCAACACCCGGGAGTTACTGCCCCTTTCCATGGCAATGACCCAATGACTCAAAAGTTACTACCAATTTTCTAGAAATTTCTGCATAAACTGCCCTTTAATCTGCATGCAATTAAAAGTGGGTATAAATGTGATTGCAAACTCTCTGCCGCTACTCTCCACCTCCAGGGTAGCCCTGCCCTACAGGAGCAGTCACAGGGCTGTAACGCTGCCTCTTCAATAAAGCTGTTTTCTTCTATACCTCCAGCTTGCCCTTGAATTCTTTCCTGGGCAAAGGCAAGAACCCTCATGTGCTATTGAGAGGTGACAGCGTTCTGGCAGCCCTGGAGCTCACTCTCAGTGTCTCCTCTGCCTGGGCTTCCAATTTGGCAGCACTTGAGGAGCCCTTCAGCCCACCGCTGTACTGTGGGAGCCCCTTCCTGGGATGGCCGAGGCTGGAGCCGGCTCCCTCAGCTTGCGGGGAGGTGTAGAGGGAGAGGCACGGGCGGGAACCGGGGCTGGGCGTGGCGCTTGCGGGCCAGCGCGAGTGCCGGGTGGGCATGGGCTCGGCAGGCCCCACACTCGGAGCGGCCAGCCAGTTCCGCCGGCCCTGGGCAGTGAGGGGCTTAGCACCTGGGCCAGCAGCTGCTGTGCTCAATTTCTCACCGGGCCTTAGCTGCCTCTCCACAGGGCAGGGCTTGGGACATGCAGCCCACCATGCCTGAGCCTCCCCACCACCCACTGTGGGATCCTGCAAGGCCTGAGCCTCCCCAGTGAGCACCGCCCCCTGCTCCACAGCGCCCAGTCCCATCGACCACCCAAGGGCTGAGGAGTGCCGGCGCTGGGCGCGGGACTGGCAGGTAGCTCCACTTGCGGCCCCAGTGCGGGATCCACCTGGTGAAGCCAGCTGGGCTCCTGAGTCTGGTGGGGACTTGGAGAACCTTTATGTCTAGCTAAGGGATTGTAAATACACCAATCGGCACTCTGTATCTAGCTCAAGGTTTGTAAACACACCAATCAGCACCCTGTGTCTAGCTCAGGGTTTGTGAGTGTACCAATGGACACTCTCTATCTAGCTAATCTAGTAGGGACTTGGAGAACTTTTGTGTCTATCTCAGGGATTGTAAACACACCAATCAGCACCCTGTCAAAATGGACTAATCAGCTCTCTGTAAAACAAACCAATCGGCTCTCTGTAAAATGGACCAACCAGCAGGATGTGGGTGGGGCCAGATAAGAGAATAAAAGCAAGCTGCCCAAGCCAGCAGTGGCAACCCACTGGGGTCCCTTTCCACACTGTGGAAGCTTTGTTCTTTTGCTCTTTGCAATAAATCTTGCTGCTGCTGACTCTTTGGGTCCACACTGCCTTTGTGAGCTGTAACACTCACCTTGAAGGTCTGCAGCTTCACTCCTGAAGCCAGTGAGACCAGCAACCCACCAGAAGGAAGAAACTCTGAACACATCCGAGCATCAGAAGGAAAAAACTCCGGACGCACCGCCTTTAAGAACTGTGACGCTCACCCCGAGGGTCCGTGGCTTCATTCTTGAAGTCAGTGAGACCAACAACCCACCAGTTCTGGACACACTATGCTCCACTGGGGGGCTCCCCTGACCTGCATCAACTGCGCTCTGGCCTGGGTGGCAGAGAGAGAGAGATCCTATCTTAAAAAAAAGAAAGAAATTTAAGGTTTAGTGCTGCCCTCAAGCCTGCGTGGGTGATCATTATACAGAGTACACAAAGATCACCAAAAAATTCACCACAAAGGCCTCCCGCCACTAGTACTCATTTGCCCATATCAAAAAATATGCAAGCCTGTTCATACAAAGACACACACAGATACTCGTAGCAAAATTATTCATAATTGTCAAAAGGTGGCAACAACACAAATGCCTATCAACAACAGATGAATGGGCAAACAAGTACAGTCTACCCGTGTGATGGATGGAACATTAATCAGCCAAAATATGGAATGAAGAGCTGATTCATGCTACAACCTGGATACACTTTGAAACCATTAGGCTAAGTGAAAGAAGCCAGACAAATAGTAGCTGATTCTATATATACACACACACACACACACACACACACACACACACACATATATATGTATGTATGCCCAGAATATGAAAATCCAAAGAAACAAAGTAGATTAATGGTTGCCAGGAGCCAGGGGTGGGGATAGTCAGGGGGAAATAAAGGGTGACTGCTAATAGATACAGGGTTTCTCCTCGGGTAATTAAAATCTCTAAAACTGATGGTGGTGATGGCTGCACAACTCTGTGAATATATTAAAAACCACTGAATTATACACTTTATTTATTTATTTAGAGACAGGGTCTGGCTCTGTTGCCGAGGATGGAGGGCAGTGGTGCAATCTCAACTCACTGCACCCTCCACCTCCCGGACTCAAACCATCCTCCCACTTCAGCCTCCTCAGTAGCTGGGACTGCAGACACACCCACCATGCCCAGCTAATTTTTTTGTATTTTTGGTTGAGACAGGGTTTTGCCATGTTGCTCGGGCTCATCTCAAACTCTTGGGTTCAAGCGATCCTCCCACCTCAGCCTCCCAAAGTGCTGGGATTACAAGTGTGAGCCACCATGCCCGGCCAAATTGTACACTTGAAATGGGTAAATTGTATGGTATGTGAATTATCTTTTAGTAAGCCTGTTATTAAAAAGCAGCTTTAAGAGCCAGGCATAAGGGCCATGCCTGTAATCCCAGCACTTTGAGAAGCCAAGGCAGGAGGATCACTTGAGCCCAGGAGTTCAAGACCAGCCTAGACAATATGGCAAAACCTGGTCTCTACAAAAAATTTAAAAATTAGGCTTGGCGCGGTGGCTCACGCCTGTAATCCCAGCACTTTGGGAGGCCAAGGCAGGTGGTTCACTTGAGGTCAGGAGTTCAAGACCAGACTGGCCAACATGGTGAAACCCTGTCGCTACTAAAAATATTTTTTAAAAATTAGCCAGGCATGGTTGTGGATGCTGAGGCTGAGGCAGGAGAATCGCTTGAACCCGAGAGGTGGAGGTTGCAGTGAGCCGAGATTACGCCACTGCACTCCAACCTGCTGGGTGACAGAGCGAAACTCCATTTCAAAAAAAAAATTAAAAATTAGCCAGCGGTGGTGGCCCGTGTTTGTAGTCCCAGCTACTCAGGAGGCTAAAGGGGGAGGATTGCTTGAGCCCAGGAGGTTGAGGCTGCAGTGAGCCAAGATTGTATCACTGCACTCTGGCGTCAGCAACAGAACAAGGCCGTGTTTCACAATTTTAAAAACAGTTAAAAGACAAGCCTAAAGAAAACACAAAAACCAATGCTAACTGTGAGACATAAATGAGGTGGTCTATTTTTTGTTAACTACCAACTAACAATTCATGGCAGAAACAAAGTTTAAATGATGCTATAGCCGGGCACCGTGGCTCACGCCAGTAATCCCAACACTTTGGGAGGCTGAGGCGGGTAGATCACCTGAGGTCAGGAGTTTGAGACCAGCCCGGTCAACATGGTGAAACCCCATCTCTACTAAAAATACAAAAATTAGCCAGGCGTGGTAGCAGGTGCCTATAATCCCAGCTACTCAGGAGGCTGAGGCAGGAGAATCGCTTGAACCCCGGGGGGGCGGAGGTTGCAGTGAGCCAAGATCGCACCATTGCACTCCAGCCTGGGCGACAGAGAGAAACTCCATCTCAAAAAATAAATAAATAATTAAATAAATGATGCTATAAACCTCATGTGAGGGAAGACTGTCCCAGGTACAGCTTGAAGAACCCTTGCTGTGAATAGGGGCCAAATGCGATAATTCTGTTTGCAACTTGCTTCATGTTAGCTTGTTGCAACTCCAGAGTGTAACAGGTATGAGAAAACTCATGGGGTTACTGTTTAATGTTGGTGGAAATATTCACATTAAAATATAATGGTTTATCACCTAAGGTATATTTTATCCCTCAAGTGGCCCGGAACACTGTGATTACTGCACACCAATCGCACGCCCATAGCTAAGGCCTTGCCAAGGAGAAATTCCGCAGTCACCTGGCCTATTTGTAAACCTGATTTATGATGTTTTGTAACAGGATATCTTGACAGTAGCATGAGGACATTTAATGAGACAAGAACATTCCCCACTGACCAACCAGATAGTTTGAGGGAACAGGATGCTGTGCTCAGTTTAATCTTCTGCTGAACCGACCATTAGGCAGAAAATCCTTTGAGTCAATGCCTCTCACTGAATCCACTTCTCATCCTGTCCACCTGCCTGCTTTGCAGTGCAGAGTAAAGTGGGCCTTCCTTGACTCTCTTCAGGGACCAATGTGCTTGAGGCCATCATGAGGACTTTCTTTTTTTTTTTTTTTTTTTTTTTTTTGAGAGAGTCTCACTCTGTCGCCCAGGCTGGAAGGCAGTGGTGTGATCTCAGCTCCCCACTGCAAGCTCTGCCTCCCAGGATCAAGTGATTCTCCTGCCTCAGCCTCCTGAGTAGCTGGGATTACAGGCACACGTCACTAGGCCCAGCTAATTTTTCTATTTTCTGTAGAGAGAGGGTTTCACCATGTTGGCCATGCTGGTGTCGAATTCGTGACTTCAAGTGATCCACCTGCCTCAGCCTCCCAAAGCGCTGGTATTACAGGTGTGAGCCAACGTGCCAGCCGAGGGCTTTCATTCTTGATGGACTGCTCCATAGCCTCAGAGACAGTCGGACTGGTTTCTTCAACCAGAGCGGAGCAGACAGGCAATTTCTGTATCCACCAGGCCAAATATTAGACCAACTCTTCAATGTACAGAGAGCATCACATTTCTTATATGCTAGAATATCTGTTGGTCTAAAATATAAATAAATAGTGTTGTAGCCAGCCACAGTAGCTCATGCCTATAATTCCAGAGCTTTGTGGGGCTGAGGCAGGAGGTTCACTTGAGGTCGAGTTTGAGACCAGCCTGGGCAACATAGCAAAACTGCCCGCCCCTCACCGCCACCTGCCATCTCTACAAAAATTAAAATAATTACCTGGGTATAGTAGTGTGGGCCTGTAGTCCCAACTACTTGGGAAGCTGATGTGGGTGGATTGCTTGAGCCCAGGAATTTTGAGGCTGCAGTGGGCTATGACTGCATCACTGTACTCCAGCTAGACCTTGTCTCAAAAAAAAAAAAAAAAAGTGTTGCAATTGACATTTCTTTATCATTTGAAAAGAGGGAGAGACAAGAAAGGTTTTTGGCATTTACCAAGCAATTACCCAGAATCCTCATCCCATCCTACCCCCACCCTTCCCCTAAAAATGTATGTATGTGTATTTATACCATAAAAAAATACATCTATTTGGCTCTGGAACCGGATTGCTTGGGTTCAATTACCTGATCTAGCATTTGCTCCTGTTGACTCAGTGTAGACAAGCTCTGTAACTCAGTTTCCCCAGCTGTAAAATGGGGAATGGCGCCTTTACTGGGCTGCCATGAGGGTAAAGGAGGGAACGTATATTTATGAAGCATTCAGAACAATTCATGATACATAGTAAGCTCCATATATTTGAGCTTATTATTACTGTCAGTACGATTATCATCATCTTGCTGTTTCCAATGGGTACGCTTTCTACATTCTCTTTCTTAAAGACCTTTAAATCCTTGGTATTCCCTCCACCACCACAGAGAGCAGTGTCCTTGTAGTTTAAATTCTCAAAGACTTCATGGATCCAACAAGCATGACATTAACTAAGGGACAGTTTTCTTTCAGCGGATTGGAATCTAAAATGGCTTTTTTATTGTTATTATTTTTCAGAGAATTATAATGTGTTTCAACAAAGGCAGCCATGGCTTTGATAATGTCCTCATGGATATAAAGACCATCTTCAGAGATTTCGGGCCAGATTTCAAGAGGAATCGCCTGGCCGAGCCTTTTAACAGCATCCACATCTACCCATTCGTGTGTAAGCTCCTGGGAGTCACCCCCAAACCCACAACGGCTCCCTGGCAGTCACCCAGGAAATGCTCATGAGCTCTTATGACCAGCAGCCAGGTGAGACACAAAAGCAGCTGCCAGAAAACTGTCAGCAGAGTCTGCTCTGTCCTGAGATAGAAAAGAATCAAAAAGTGGTCTCATGGTGGGGAGGAGGGAATTCAAGCAGAACAATCCTGTTTCCCAGCAGCTTTGGAGCCCCAGGAACAAGATTCCAATAGCTCCAAACAGATAGCACGGGAGGTAGGGAATCCCTCGACCTGCTGGTAACATTTGACATAGTGCCTTTTAGGCAAAGGGAAGTTGCTCTATAGAGAAAGTCGGGCTGTAATCCTTCCGGTCCTAAGGAAATCACTGTGTACAGACTGCCCCCAAGATGCCCCTTCCAGATACGGAAATCTGCCCTCCTTCAATAGCACAGAAAGCTCTTCATAGTGGAGGAGCAAAACCCTGCTGTTCACTCGATACTGAAAAAAGGAGAGGGGAGAGTCTGAAACGAGACTGCAAATTCTCAAGACTTCAAACCCCTTCAATCTGGGTAATACAAAGGAAGAATAAAATCATCTCAGAATTTGCTGTTGCCTTCTTTTGTGGGTTGTTTACAAACACTGGCTATCTTTCCTTTTCCCAGGAGAGACTTGGATACTGTCCAGTGATCTAACGAGCACTTAAAGCAATTACATGCAAAAAGGAGTAATGGCCTGGGCACCGTGGTTCATACTTGGGACTTTGGGAGGATGAGGTAGGAGGATCACTTGGGGCCAGGAGCTTGAGACCAGCCTGGGCAACATAGTGAGACCCTGTCTCTACAATAAATTAGCTGGATGTAGTGTCACATGCCTGTAGCCCCAGCTACTGGGGAGGCTGAGGCGGGAGGATCGCTGGAACCCAGGAGTTTGAGGCTGCAGTGAGCTGTGATTGTACTACGGCACTCCGATTCCTGCCTTAAAAAAAAAAAAAAGGAAAAGAAGGGAGGGCAGGGGTGATATACATCCTTTCTCTTCTTGTAAGCCACTGCCCATGATCTCCTTGTGAACATACAGAAAGCAGTCCCTTTTGTAGAAAACTAATTAAATGAATGACCAATTCACCAAATTATGGAGGATTTTTCTTCTTTTTAAGTTTTGGAGTTTTGCTACAACTATTTTGTAGCCCCTCCCCTGTCCCACATCCCACTGGGAGCCTGGGATAATCTGCGTCTGACTGTCAGTTACTGATAAGCAGGACATCCCACAAACAGATTTTCAGCGAATTGGCTTTCAGCAAACTGATCATTTGGCAAAGTGGTCATTAGGCAAATGGGTCATTTGGCGAAGAGGTCATTTAGTAAATCGGCTTTCAACGACTTCCCCTATGAGATTTCTCTAGAGTGAGCATTTTCTTGGGTTAAATGTACACTTCATTTCCATAATTA
The DNA here is from genome assembly GCF_000001405.40 of Homo sapiens. Taxonomy (NCBI): domain Eukaryota; kingdom Metazoa; phylum Chordata; class Mammalia; order Primates; family Hominidae; genus Homo; species Homo sapiens. The sequence goes on from NC_000003.12 coordinate 125,910,794, forward strand.
ATACTCACTAGCGGCTAGATGGGAACAGACAATTAAAAACCCTCTGGTTTCTTAACAGGAGCGGAGGTGCAGAGGGCATCTGCTCTGCAAGGCGCAGTGATCAGGCTCAGCATTGTCACAGGAGCTCTTGCGGTTCTGTTTGTTACTAGTGTGACATACACAGCAATTCAATGGAAAAAGGACTGAGTGGTATTTGAGTCTCCCGTAGTTGATCATCATATGTCTTGATAACCCATGACAACTCCTTGCCACATGCCACGGGAGGTCCAGCACTCCAAGAGCCCAGCAGCCAGGGCCGGATTCATGGGCTTGCAACCTGGACAGTCCCACAGGGACACAGAAGAGTCCCCACTGTGGTTTAATAATCTGCCATCACCATCTTGAAATTCTTTATTTTTTAACAAGGGTGGCCAGGGATAGTGGCTCATGCCTGTAATCCTAGCACTTTGGGAGGCCAAGGCAGGCAGATGGCTTGAGCCCAAGGAGTTTGAGACCAGCCTGGGCCACATAGCAAGACCCCATCTCTACAGAAAATACAAAAATTAGCCAAGCGTGTAGTCCCAGCTACTTGGAGGCTGAGATGGGAAAATTACCTGAGCCCAGGGAGGTCAAGGCTGCAGGAGCTGAGATTGTACCACTGCACTCCAGCCTGGATGACACAGCGGGATCTTGTCTAAAAAAAATCCACAAGACCAGGCACGGTGGCTCATGCCTGTAATCCCAGCACTTTGGGAGGCTGAGGCAGGCGGATCACTTGAGGTCAGGATTTTGAGACCAGCCCGGCCAACATGGTGAAACCCCATCTCTACTAAAAATACAAAAATTAGCTGGACAAGGTGGTGCATGCCTGTCATCCCAGCTACTCAGGAGGCTGAGGCAGGAGAATAGCTTGAACCTGGGAGGAGGAGGTTGCAGAGAGCCGAGGTCGTGCCATTGTACTCCGGCCTGGGGCACAAGAGTGAAACTCCAACTCCAAAAAAAAAAAAAAAAAAAAAAAAACCATAACAACAACGAGGGCCCTGCATGTGGCTGAAAACAACAGAAATGTATTGTCTCGCAGGCCTGGATGCTAGAAGCCCAAAATCAAGGTGTCGGCCGGGCTTCGCTTCCTCTGAAACATGTAAGAGAGAATACTTCCTTGCCTCTCCTGGCTTCTGGTGGCCGCTGGCAATGCTTGGTGTTCCTTGTAGATGCATCGCTCCAATCTCTCCTCCCTCATCACATGGCTGCCATCTCCCTCTGTCTCTGTCTTCACCTGACATTCTCCTCTCTTATTTTATTTTTTTGAGATGGAGTTTCCCTCTGTCACCCAGGCTGAAGTGCAGTGGCACAATCTTGGCTCACTGCAACCTCCGCCTCCTAGGTTCTGGCGATTCTCTCACCTCAGCCTCCTGAGTAGCTGAGATTACAGGCGCCCGCCACCACGCAGTGCTAATTTTGTGTTGTTAGTAGAGATGGAGTTTCACCATGTTGGCCAGGCTGGTCTCGAACTCCTGACCTCAAGTGATCCGCCCACCTCACCCTCCCAAAATGTGCTGAGATTACAGGCATGAGCCACCATGCCCAGCCCTCATTCTTTCCTTTTACAAGGACACCAGTCATTGCATCTGCCTCCTTACCAGCAGCCCCCAATCCAGTATGACTCATCATTACTTGATTATATCTACAAATACCCTATTTCCAAATAAGGTCACATTCCTGGCTACGGAGGATTAAGATTTCCAATTTTTTCCCTGACTCAATTGTTTTTGAGTCAGGGCCTCACCCTATCCCCCAGGCTGGAGTACAGTTATGTCATTATAGCTCACTGCAGCCTCAAACTCCTGGGCTCAAGGGATCCCCTGACCTCAGCCTTCCAAGTGGCTGAGACTACAGGAGCACACCACCATGCCCAACTATTTTTTTTTTTTTGTACAGATTAGGTCTCACTCTGTTGACCAGGCTGCTCTCCTGACCTCAAGTGATCCTCTTGCTTTGGCCTCCCAAAGCACTGAGATTATAGGCGTTATCCCGTGCCTGGCCCTCTTTCTACACCTCAATCATTGTATCATTAGCCTGAGCTGCCCATAGTCCTTATTCTGCCCATCCCTGACCGATCTCCTCCTTTAACATAACTTCCATCTCAATATCATGGGGCCTGCTGGGCACTGCAAACAGCCTAAGGAAAGCAGAAACTTTACTTAACCTTAAATTCTATTACAAAGTCCACATTGAACGTAATTTATATTTGAACTATAAAATTTTCTGTAAGTTGAAACATGACCTATAAAGGTCCCTACACCCTGAAGCAACGTTTTAGAAAGAAATCAATTGGTCCTTTTCTGCAGAAACCATTAACCATAGGAGAGATAAAGGAAAAACTTCAATGTACTGACTGAACTTCCATGCCCATAGCTTAATTTCTAAAAGGCAACCATTCCATACTGTTAAACTGCCTTAGGTTGTTATTACTGTTATTAAAGAGACCCTCAAAGCCAGAAGTTGAATCTTGACTGTAGTTCTTGCACGTATACGCACACTCTTGCAACTGAAACCATTCAGATTGTCCTAATGCTCTTCCCCATAGTAACACCACCTGGAATTTTACGTTTGGTTTTAAGCATCAGTCCTAATCTTCACTTGCACCTGAACACACTGCACCTGTGAGAGCCACGTGACATTAAAAAAAATCCCTTCAGTGAGGCCGGGCATGGTGGCTCACGCCTGTAATCCCAGCCCTTTGGGAGGCCAAGGCAGATGGATCATGAGGTCAAGAGATTGAGACACTCCTGGCCAACATGGTGAAACCCTGTCTCTACTAAAAAATACAAAAATTAGCTGGGCGTGGTGACGCGTGGCTGTAGTCCCAGCTACTCGGGAGGTTGAGGCAGGAGAATCGCTTGAGCCTGGGAGGCAGAAGTTGCAGGAGCCGAGATCATGCCACTGCACTCCAGCCTGGCAACAGAGGGAGACTCTCTGAAACAAAAAAATCCCTTCAGTGCCTTGATCCTTCCAGATTCAGATCCAAGATAGATGACATTTGGCCCTCATCCGAGCCCGCACACCAAAATAAAGATTTCTTCTGGCCGGGCGTGGTGGTTCATGCCTGTAATCCCAGCACTTTGGGAGGCAGAGGCGGGCGGATCACCTGAGGTCAGGTATTTGAGACCAGCCTGGCCAACGTGTTCAAACCCTGTCTCCACTAAAAATACAAACATGGCCCGGCATGGTGGCTCACGCCTGTAATCCCACTACTTGGGAGGCTGAGGCAGGAGAATCGCTTGAACCCGGGAGGTGGAGGTTGCAGTGAGCCGAGATTGCGCCATTGCACTCCAGCCTGGGCAACAAGAGAGTGAAACTCTGTCTCAAAAAAAAAAAAAAAAAAAAAAAAAAAAGAAGAAAAGATTTCTTCTGTGTGCATGGCTCAGCTCTGTGGTCCGCTAGGGTCCTTCCTCAATCCGCTTCCAATCTATGGAATCAGGAAAGACTGAACCAACCTAGATTTATTAATATTTTAGTATAACATAATACAGTGTTACTTATTATAGCATTGACCGTATATGCCCTTTTGCTCCTTGGAGGAAAGGCAATTAATAGCTATTATGTGAGTTAATAAAATAAGCCCAGGATTTATGAGTGTAACTAACCTGTTCCCATTGGTTTTCCTTGTCTCCTGCGGGCAGAGAGCTGATCAAAACAGCAAAAGCAAAGCAGTGCCCCTGGCCCAGTTCTGAGGCCAACCTTCCTTAACCACCCAGACCCATCCCCGGTTAGGACTTGCTGTGGATTCTCAGGTGACTCCATCTGAGGATACAGGGACTGAGAGGGTGTATGCAATATCTCAGACCCAGAAACTGTTGATTCTGTCTAAAAACACAGCAATAACCACATCCCACCCTCTTGATTTAGATGAAAGTGTTTGGCGGAATAAAAGATGAACCTTTTTTTTTCTTTGTCAGATCTTGCGCTCATTTGGTTCTGGTGGGGAACAACAGCTGTGAGAGAACAAGTGTATTCAATTAGAATTAATTCCCCCTCTTATTCTCACGGCTGAGCAGGGCTCAAGTGCCTCTCATCTGAAAGAGGTAATAAGATTTAATCTGTCTCCTCATCTACCTTCTGCAAGTATACTTAACAAATTAGCTCTCGGGACTCTTCCAAATGGAGTTTTATGAGGGATTTGCTAAGGTAAACGTTTTAGACTTTGAACACAATTCAGATTTCAGGGGCAGTACTGAAATCTGAACCGTGTCGCTAACTGCCCTGCCTTTCAACTCAAGACACAATAACTTTGAACTAAAATAATTATATTTTTGTTGTTTTCCACTCTGTCCCCACGTCTATATCACCACCACCCCCAATCCCGCCCCCCAGGAGCTAACTCCTCCTTCCTGTCCCTGCAAGATCAAAACTCCTCCTGGAAGCCCTGCTAGCTCTGTCTGCTCGCCTTCGTGGCAGATATTGCTATTGTACTTTCATGCTCATTTGTGTGGTAAGTACTTCAATGTCCACTTCTTCCACGAGCCCCTGAGCCCCTGGAGGGCCTGGACCACACCTAGTTTTTCTCACTGTTACACCTCCCTTGCCAGACACATGGTAGGCGCTTAATAAGTATTTGGTGAACGGATGGCTTGTTTGGTGACAGTCCAAAGGCTGGGGGACAGACAGAAAGCTCCCTCCTATCGGGCCCCAGACGGGTGGCGCTGATGGAGAGGAGGCTAGGATAACGCCTCCAGGACCGAAGCGCGCACCCGTAAGGCCCCTGCCAAAAAGACCTTCCTGAAGGCGGAGGAACTGCGAGTGCCTACGTTGGCCCAAGGCCTGACACTACGATCCCGGGGACCCTCGCCCTAACCGGCCCCACCTCCCGGGCCCCAAACCTGGACTCGGCCCCGCCCGAAGCTCCGGATCCTGGGGCCCGCCGCTGGCCCCGCGTCGGCAGACCGTGGGCTCGCTCCTGGGCCTGCCTCAAACCCTCCGCAGGTAACGCCTCCCGAACTTGAGCCACACTCCAATCCCCTCCTCAAACCCCTCCCCGTTTCTCACACCCTGGACCCCTCGCTCCGTCTCGGCCCCGCCCCAAGCCCAGCTCCCTCTCGGCCCCTGAGCCCAGCCCCGATCCGCCTCCCAGTCCCTTGGTCCCTGCCAACACCGGACCCTCCCTAAGCTCCGCCTCCCAGGGCCCGCCTCCTGAGCGCAGCCCGCAGCCTAGACTCGGCCCCGCCTCCCGGACCCTGGGCCCCTCCCCACGTCGGCCTGTCCTAAGATCCGCCTCCCAGAGTTCGAGCAGTGCCTGGCAACGTGCTACGACATAGTCAACGCCCCGCCCTGGCCCCGCCTCCTGAGCCCTTCTCTGGGTCTGGCCTTAGCCCCGCCCTAAGACCTGTCTCCTGGGCTCTGCTCCGACTCTCGCCTCCTGAACCCAATCATCGTTTACCCCCACCCTAACGCCCGCCTCCAGGACTCTTATCCTGCCCCCACGCAAGGCCCCGCCTCCAGGACGCCTCCAACCTGGACGCTTCCGAAGCCCCGCTTCCAGGATCGCCCTGTCCTGGCCCCGCCCCAGGACCCGCCAACCTGAACTCTCCCCAGGACCTGCCCCAACGACGCTTATCCTGGCCCTACCCCAGGCCTCGCCCTCATGACGCTCATCCTGGCCCCACCCCAAGCCCCCGCCTCATAACGCTCATCCTGGCCCCGCCCTAGAGCCGCCCCCACGACTCTCCTCCTGACCCTACCCGCAGGCCCCGCCCCCTCTCTGCCCCCGCGCACTGCCCTGGGCCCGCCCCGTCTTCAGTCCAGGCCCGGCTTCCGCACGGTCTCCCGGCAACACTGCGGCCCCGCCCACGTCATGGCGCCCGAGGAGAACGCTGGGACCTAACTCTTGCTGCAGAGTTTGCAGCGCCGCTTTCTGGCGGCGCGCGCGCTGCGCTCCTTCCCCTGGCAGGTGGGCGGCGGGGCGAGCGGAGAGGCCCGCAGGGCTCGCGGGAGTCCAGGGGCAGACGGGATGGGTCTCCGTGCAGAAGCCCCCGACACGCCCGCCACGTGAGTGCCTGGGCTCCCGCCAGTCAGGTCCGCGCGACCCGGTCCCCATCCCTGGGGCCTGGCCAGAGTCGCTCACACCCTTCCTGCCCCGCGGGCTGGCGGCATAAGCTGGGGGCCTCTCCACCGTCTTAGGGGGCAGAGGCGCACTCGTTGTGGGATACAGTTCACGATCATTTTCACGACTTTTTAAAGGCAGTAATCGTTCTGGTCACTGGGACACAGCTGCCCTCGCCCATTCTAAAAAGTCAGCGCCCTCAGGACCGCGGGTAACCACGTCCTCCTGAGCGCGGTGACCAGGTCACAGGCTGTCCCCTCGTGCCTCAGTGTTCTCATCTGTATGTTGAGAACTGCACAGAATCGGCTCATGCTCTGAGGCTCTCACACCTGTGATGGAAGAGACAGAGAAGGGGGTGGCCTCTCGTCTCCCTGGGGACCTACCATTCTCAGCACAGGCACATGGCAGGCAGCAGCCTCCCTTCTGCCAGTAGAGGGGCTTAATGCACCCGGCCCCATTTGTAATTCATGTGCAGTGAGCTCACTGGGATGAGTCAGTTTGGATATATATTCCTCCCTGGAATTTTATGGGGTGTTGCTTAATCATTTGCGTTATTCCATTGATATGAAATATTTAGCACTCAGAGATCATTTCTGGTCAGGAGAAATTTGTGCATTTTTAACCCAAAATAGAAACCTTCATAAAAGCATCATAGGTCTCCATTCAATATTGGCTATAATTGTTCACATGCCCACGCTGAATGCTAACTTGGGCTCACCCTCAACACCCATGAGGTGGGTACTATTATTATCACTCACATTTGACCAGAGGGATTGTTTGATTAGGGTGCAGTAGTTGAGAGTTCAGACCCAGGAGACAGCCTGCCTGCTTCAAATCCTGTCCCAACCCCTGGCCCTGTGTGACCTTGGGCAAGTGACTACATCTCTCTGTGCTGTTGTTTTCTTATTAATAAAATGGGGGATATAATGATACCTACCTCTTAGGGTTGTTGTCAGGGTTGAGTACAAAAGCCTGTGGATCAGTGCCTGGCTCATGGTAAATGCATGTCGGTGTTAGCTAGTGTTTTTATTCAGTCTCAAAATGTTTAATAAATGCCTTCCGTGAGCCAGGCACCATGGATCAGCAGTACCCATGACAGATGAGGCTCTGCTTGCATGGGAGAGCCAGAGAATAAACAAATAAATAAATAAACAAGAAAAGACCAGATGAGAGTGGCTTTAAAGCCAATAAAACAGGGAAATGGTGAATGGAGCAACTGGGGAGAAAAGTCACCAAAGTCGGGGAATCAGGGAAGCCTTCCCCAAAGAGGTGGCTTTTGAACTGGGGCCTGAGTGGTGAAGCAGCCAGCCATGGGAAGGGCTTGGGGAACAGGATATGCAAAGGCCCTGTGGTGGAAACAAGCCAGCTGTGGTTGAGGAACAACAGCAAGGCAGCCAGTGTGGCTGGAGTGGAGTGAGCAGTGTGGGCCAGGGGTGAGGGAGAACAGGCCAGAGAGAGGGATTAGGACCAGGTCTTGTAAGGCCTTTTACAGCATGGAAGGAGCTCTGAAGCAATGAAGTGCCTTGCCCTGTGTCACATACCAGCTGAGACAGTCTGCCTAACTCGGGAGCCAAAGTTTGCTGCTGGGCTTGAGGCCCCTGTGAGAGGACAATGTAACCCAGGCTGGTATGGGCACATTCTGCATTTCCACTTAAACTCAGATGGCAAGCCCATCAAACCTTGGTGCCATGGCTGCCCTGTTAATTCCTGGCTGACCAGTGCAACCAGGGAGCTGGCCCATGACCCAGGTGGCCGCTAAGTAGCCAGGACTAATGTGGCCAAGAGTCAGTCTTCTAGCCTTCTTCCTGTGACTCATCCAGGTGCACCCTGTGACATCTGAAGGTCAGGCTTTCAGCTGCTGTGGCTTCCACTTCCAACTGGCTCCACGTCCCCAGGGAGAGATCACACAGCGCTTTGCCAACACATTCTATTGCGTGTTTAATGTTCCTGTGAATGCGCCCTTGAGATTTCTCTCTCTCCCGTCCACACAGAGCTTAGAAGCAAAATTAACAGACTCATCAGATTCTGAGCTTCTGCGGGATATTTTGCAGAAGGTAAGAATCCCAGAGTCCCTGGGACTCATGACCCTGTCTCCTGAATCTCTCCGGAAGACCTGAGAGAAGAACCACAGGTGTGCTTGTACCCTTTAAAAACACCCCTGTTCAAAGAACATTGAACATTGAGTCAGCACTGCAGGTGGGTGTTGGCACCTCTGACAGCTCCAGCTCTTTCATTTTCTATCTAAGACTTAGACAAAGACATCAGAATATACAAAAATCTGCATGAGAGGGGGAAATCTAAGGAAAGTTTTTTAAACCATCCACAGCAAAAACAGAGATGACAGGTGCAAAACAGCTTCTAGCATTTGGTAGATGCTCAGAGACTTTCTTTTTTGCATTCATGAGGCCTGTCCTGCCCACTCCTGTCTCTTCTAGACCTAAATGGGCCCTTACTTTGCCCAGGGTGGGGTTTGGACTCAAGAGCATCTGCATGCAGGTGAGAGGCAGGATCACCACCAGGCCCAGCCACAGCCTGACCTTGGCCTTGAGGGCCAAGTGCAGATCACCCTGCATCCTGGGTCTTCACCTGTGAAGGGCCATGAGCCCTTCTGAAAAGACAAAGCAGTAGACTCCGTCCCAGAAAGAAGTGCACCAGAAGAATACATTTTCCATACAAACTCTGGAGGCAGACATTCTCCACCCCCACCCAACCAGCCCATCCTAGGAGCCCCAGTGAAGAATTCCTGTGCTAGAGGTGAACCAAGATTATCCATGTGGAAAAGATGCAGCCACAGCAGGGAAGACTTTCGGGGCAATACAGTAGGTCAGGGCTTCGAGCATGGAGATACCTGAAGTTATCTCGCACCCTGCTCTGAGTTGCACCCTTAGCCTCACTCTTGTAGGTGGTGAAGCATGAAATGTAGGGATAGCTGCTTTCAAACCCAGCACAAGGCTGGGTGCACTGGCTCACACCTGTAATCCCAGGACTTTGGGAAGCTGAGGTGGACGGATCACCTGAGGTCAGGACTTCAAGACCGGCCTAGCCAACATGGCAAAAACCCATCTCTACTAAAAATACAAAAATTAGCTGGGCGTGGTGGTGCACGCCTATATTCCCAGCTACTTGGGAGGCTGAGGCAGGAGAATCGCTTGAACCCAGGAGGCAGAGGCTGCGGTGAGCCTTGATCAGGCCACTGCACTCCAGCCTGGGCAACAGAGCGAGACTCTGTGTCAGAAAAAATGAAAAACCAGCACCAGCCTGAAGAGCCTGTGTATTGTGTGGGGTACTTTGCTGCCCTTGGGCAGAATCTGCATCCCTCCCGGCCAGCAGGCACTGCGGACTGTCTCCTCCCTCTCCCTCCAGGCTCCTGTTTTCCCACCGTCCCCACTCCTGCTGCACCAGTCCCTCTGCCCTCCTTTCCAAGTGCCAGCCCGTGGCCACCTCAGAGCTTGCACCAGCTGTTGCCACTGCCTGGAACTTGCTCATCCTGCACTTGGCTTCTCTTGGCTTTAGCTGGAGTGTCACCCTGAGCGTCCCCTCCCCTCCATCCTGTCCCCAGGGACACACACTCCCAGAGAGCAGTTGCCGAGTGGGCCTTCCCGCCTCTTCCATAGAGCCAGACAGTTGGCGACTGTCCTTACTGCAAGCCCTGGTTCACACTGGCTCCCCTGGGAGGGAGGTGGTTTGGGCCCACGTGCCCTGTGTTCCCGCTCAGAATGGGCATTAGAAATGCTGCCACAGCCTGTGCCACTGCAGTGGAAGCATTTTTAGGAAACGGGTTATATCTTCAGACAAACTTCAGATGCATGGGGCCAGAATGCTGTGTCCATCTACATACATCTTTGCTGAGAGATGGGGTAGCCTGGAGTTTGCCCTCTGTTGTGTTGGCTTGAAGCTCATAGGAGACTTAAGACGGGCTCTCGAGCAACCAATGTTCTGTCCTTTGCTGTAGACTGTGAAGCATCCTGTGTGTGTGACGCACCCGCCGTCAGTCAAGTATGCCCGGTGCTTTCTCTCAGAACTCATCAAAAAGGTCAGTTATGGGCAGTGTCTGCCCAGTAGCCAGACAGCATAGCCACCTGCGTGCTAGAGCCCCCATCCTTCCCAGGCCCTGGGCCTGCTTTGCAAACCCCAGCATGGCAGGGGCCTCCCCAGGCGACTGGCTGCAGCCACGTGTGACCCATGGGAGACAGTGCAGGGCGGGAAGAAGGGGAGGTCAGCGTCTCTCCCTCACTCTGCCTCCTGGGGTTTCCGCAGCAGCTGCTTCTCTGGGGCCCCAGCTCCCAGCATATGGATTCTCATTCCTACCAGGCTGGCCCAGCCCACAGCACTGGAACCCTCACCCACACCCTCTGTCCTGCCCGCCGAAGGGTTTGGAGTTTCCTGCTCTTGTCTGTCTCTGGGTTGCCCCATGGGCCCCTCTTGGAAGGTTTAGCTCTTGCCATACCTTTGGAACTAGTTCCTCTGGTGAATTCTCTGCATTGATCCTGCTAGAATGAGCTCTTTCCTGACTGATACAGGATGGATTTTATTTTTTACTTCTTTATTTTTTTGAGACAGTCTCACTGTGTTGCCCAGGCTGGATTACCGTAGCACAGTCTCGGCTCCCTGAAACCTCTGCCTCCTGGGTTCAAGCAACTGTCGTGCCTAGCCTCCTAAGAAGCTGGGACTACAGGCACATGCCACCATGCCTGGCTAATTTTTGTATTTTTAGTAGAGACAGAGTTTCACCATTTTGGCCAGGCTGGTCTCGAACTCCTGACCTCAGGTGGTCCGCCTGCCTCGGCCTCCCATTGTGCTGGGATTACAGGCATGAGCCACCGCACCTGGCCTAGGGTGGATTTTAAAGATGGGCCCAAACATGCAGGGTTCGACATAAGGATGTCGAGAGGCCGTTCCTCAGTAGGCAGTAGCAGACCTGCTGAGTGAAAGGGCCACACTTTTAGCAAATAAACAATCCCCTGCTTCTCCAATACCTGCTTTCTCCCTAGTCCTCCCCAAAAGGGTGCATCTGTGGTCACCAGCAGGTCTGCCCTGTGCCACCAGGAGAGGGCAGCAGTCACCCAGTATACCCTGCTGCTGCCCTGTGAATTTTAGGATGGGGCCAGCCCTGGAGAAGCAGCCTGCTGACAGCCACAGCCTGCAGCATGGGCCGCCCTCACAGTTCTGCCTGGGCTCACTTAAAAGCACCTTTTGTTTTCCTGCTCTCTGTCATGGTCATGTGGCAGCTCTCACGGAATCCTTGTCTCCTGCCCTAAACTACACCTAACTCTACCCTCTCAACACCTCTCATTGAAGGCCCTCCCATCCAGGTTTCCCTACCAAGTGAATTTTTTTTTTAGAGACAAGGTCTCTTGCCCAGGCTGTCCTCGAACTCCTGGGCTCAAGCAGTCCTCCCATGTCAGCCTCTAGAGTAGCTGGGACTATTCGGCACACACCACCACGCCCAACGAAGTGAATATTTTATATGCCAGCTGGCCGGTATTACACCATTCCATCCCAAATCTCCCCTCCAAACTTGGTGAAAATCATCTGGCCATTTTTACAGATTAGAACGAAAGCAAACAAGCTCTCACTCTGTCTGCCCCCAGCACGAGGCTGTCCACACGGAGCCTTTGGACGAGCTGTATGAGGTGCTGGTGGAGACCCTGATGGCCAAGGAGTCCACTCAGGGCCACTGGAGCTATTTGCTGGTATGAGAAGGGTACCCTCCTCCCCCTCACAGCCCAGATACCCTTCCTGCACAGACAAAGTGAAAACGTGGGTGTGGGTTCAAATCCTGACTCACCCATTCTGCAGTCTTAGACATGAGGTCCATCAACCTTCTTTAGCCTCAGTTTCCCTGTCTGTAAATCAAGCACTGCAACAACAACAGCATGTCTCATGGGGTCGTTGGGCATTTGTCCAATAGGTGACACACTCTACCTGCTTCACAAGGACCTGGTGCCCAGTCCTCAAAGAATACTTGGCAGGTTCAGGCGTGATGGCTCATGCCTGTAATCCCAGCACTTTGGGAGGCTGAGGCGGGTGGATCACCTGAGGTCAGGAGTTTGAGACCAGCCTGGCCAACATGGTGAAACTCTGTCTTTACTAAAAATACAAAAATTAGCGGGGTGTGGTAGTGGGCGCCTGTAATCCCAGCTACTCGGGAGGCTGAGGCAGGAGAACCTCTTGAAACCGGGAGGTGGAGGTTGTAGTGAGCCAAGATCGCGCCATTGCACTCCTGCCTGGGCAAAGAGAGTGAAACTCTGTCTAAAAAAAAAGTAGAAAAATTAGCCAGACATGGTGGCACATGTCTGTAGTCGTACCTACTTGGGCGGCTGAGGCAGGAGAATTGCTTGAACCCAGGAGGCAGAGGTTGCAGTGAGCCAAGATTGTGCCACTGACTCCAGCCTGGGGAACAGAGCTCAAAAAAAATAAGATAAAACATAGATACAGAAAACCACAAAGGAAAAACATAGCATATTGAATCATCACAAGGCAGCCACCCCTTCATAGCCACACCTGGCCCCTGGCCACCACTGACCTGTGCTCCATCGCCAGAATTCCATTGTCTCAGGAATGTTCAATGAATGGAATCCTGTGTGGCCTGAGGTGAGTGTCTTTCATGCCACGTGACACCCTTGAGGCCTGTACAAGCTGTTGGCATGTCAACAGTTAGCTGCTTCTCATTGCTGAGTGGCGATTGGTCCTGTCATGGTTTATTCAGCCATGTGGTGGATGGCTACTTGTCTTCTAAGCCACTTGCCTTCTGATTGCTGGAATGACTCTCTCGCCCTCTCTTGGTGCAGCCCTCAGGAGGCTCAGTCACACTCTCCTAGAGCACAGCCATCATCTCCCAGGCATCACAGGCCTGGTCACATGGGATGCTACCCTCTACCTTGCAGAATGGGCCATCGAGAACCCGGCAGCCTTCACTCATAGGTGACCTTGGGGTGCAGGGCAGGGGACCGAGGCAGGCTTACCCTGGTGCAGTCGCAGACATGGTCCCCTTTCCTCCCGCCAGGACTGTCCTAGAGCTTGGCAGTGGTGCTGGCCTCACAGCCCTGGCCATCTGCAAGATGTGCCGCCCCCGGGCATACATCTTCAGCGACTGTCACAGCCGGGTCCTCAAACAGCTCCGAGGGAATGTCCTTCTCAATGGCCTCTCATTAGAGGCAGACATCACTGCCAACTTAGCCCCAGAGTGACAGTGGCCCAGCTGGACTGGGACATCGCGATGGTCCATCAGCTCTCTGCCATCCAGCCAGATGTTGTCATTGCAGCAGGTAATGCCCAGCCCCGGGCACCCTGTGCAGGCGGTGTCCTTGCAGCTCTACCCAGCTCTTGGCTCTGGGAAAAGGGAACAATGGATGCTATCGGGCATGGACATGATGGAACTTCCAGAAGAGTTACTCTGGGCCTCCAGGGTGACATCAAAGGACAGGGGTGCCTCTTAAGGTGACCTTCAAGCCACAGCCCTCTTGTTGGAGACAGGCATACTCCCGTTACAGTCGTCACCACATGGCTCTGTCCCAGAGCCATGCTTGTGTCTTTCAGAGACCACAGGAGGAAAACAACCACTTCTGGGATGAGGACAGGGCCCTTGAGAGAAGGTGGTGTTTGGCTGGGCCGCCAAAAACCCCTCGCCCCTGCCAGCACACTCAGTCTCCTCTCTGGTCGAACAGAGCTGTGCCTGTTGTCCTGGGTCCCAGCCCTGAAAACCACAGGTCCAGCGGTGGCCAGGGACACAGGCCCACCCCTGCAAGCCAGCAGACAAATCGGCAGACGCCTGAAACACGAAGTTCATGGCAGGGTCAGGCTTTGTGTCATTCACAGCCCTCTAGATAGGCTGAGAACCAGAGCTCGTTTTTTAAGGAACACCAGTGAGTCTGGAGATTTTTTTCTTTTGCTTCGGTCTTTTGCAGCTTTCTCTACTAAGGGTTCTCCTTTTTCACCCAAGTAATTGCCTTTCCATCTAATGGCCAAAATGGTCAAATGGCATCTAATAGTCTCATATGACCACTGCCTCTCTGGCTCGCCCTGCTGCTGAGGTCAGCATGACCTGGGACTGTCCGCTGGTCCCTTTCAGTAACCTGAAACTTTCACCGTAGACGTGCTGTATTGCCCAGAAGCCATCGTGTTGCTGGTCGGGGTCCTGCTGAGGCTGGCTGCCTGCCGGGAGCACCAGCGGGCTCCTGAGGTCTATGTGGCCTTTACTGTCCGCAACCCAGAGACATGCCAGCTGTTCACCACCGAGCTAGGTGAGCCCCCATGCCCACCCGGGCCTGCATGGTCCCCGAGCTGTCCCTGCGGGACTCCAGTGGAAGTGAAAGAACTGGGGGCTGGGGAAAAGCTAGGATGCCCCACACTCCCACACCATGCGGGGAACTAGGGCAGAGGCCGGTGAGCAGGGTGGGCTCGGGGCTGGGGGCTTGTGGCAGGAGGAGGGCAGCTCAGCACAGGGAGGGAGGATCTGAGCCCAGCAGCCCTACTGTGTGCTTCAGAGCAGGGTTCCCTAAGCCCTTGGGCCTCAGTTTCCTCATCTATAAAATGGAGGTGGTGGGAGGGGCAGTCGGGGTCAGGGCTGGACACAGCTGTGGCCTGCAGGACGCTGGAACACAGGCTGTACGGGCGGATCCACCATGCCACTGTCCTGAGCACCCAGTTGATGGAAGACGAGCAGGGTGACTATAGAGAAGGGGAATTGACCCCGTAGTGGGCCAGCCACTGTCCTCAGACCTGACATTTGTCAGCCCCCAGCACCTGTGAGAGTGTGCTATCATTGTCCCATCTCACCGACAAAGACACTAGGACACACAGAGGCTAAGCAACCCCCGAGCTCCCACAGACTGCAGCCCGGCCACCTGGCTCTCGTGCCTCCACACTACACCCAAGCCCCCCATTGCCACCAGCCTTTGCCCCAGCTCCCCCTGAGCACAGCCCCTCCTGGCAGCCATGTGCACAGATGCACGCGCAGGAGCCTCTGCCTGCACACACAGACACGGGTCCAATGCCTGTCCACGTGGGGCAGCCCGTTAACTACAGAGCCAACAAACAAGCCAGCACACGAAGACACACTAGGTTCCATGACAGAGTCCCTCACAACCTCGCACAGGAGGCTGGCCGGGCGCGGGGCTCAGGCCTGTCATCCCAGCAGTTTAGGAGGCTAAGGCAGGAGGACTTCTTGACACCAGGAGTTCAAGACCAACCTGGGCAATATAGTGGGACCCCATCTCCACAAAACATACAGAAACTAGCCGGGCATGGTTGCGCACACCTGTAGTCCCAGCTACTCGGGAGGCTGAGGTGGGAGGATGGCTTGAGCCCAGGAGGTGGAGGCTGCAGTGAGCCCTGATCTCACCACTGCACTCTAGCCTAGGCAACAGAGCAAGACCCTGTCTCAAAAAGGCAAAAAAAAAAAAAAAAAAAGGAAGTTTTTCTTCAGATACTTACGTGAAAAAATACCTGCAATATCTTTTAAGTGAAAAAAACAGTGCCAAGCAGCACACATAGTAGAAGCCCCCACCCACCTTTTTTTTTTTTTTTTTTTTTTGAAACAGAGTCTGGCTTTGTATTGCCCAGGCTGGAGTGCAGTGGTGCCATCTCGGCCCACTGCAACCTCCCACCTCCCAGGTTCAAGCTATCCTCCCATCTCAGCCTCCTGAGTAGCTGGGACTACAGGTGCGTGCTACCACGCCTGGCTAATTTTTGTATTTTTTGTAGAGTCGAGGTTTCGCCATGTTGGCCAGGCTGGTCTTGAACTCTTGACCTCAAGCGATCTGCTGCCTCAGCCTCCCAAAGTGTTAGGATTACAGGCATGAGCTACTGCACCCAGCCCCATTTTTGTTTAAAAAATAATAATAATCACCCACACATGGTTATGAGTACCTATATTCCCAACTACTCAGGAGGCTGAGGCGGGAGGATGGCTTAAGCCCAGGAGTTTGTGGCCCCCTTGAGCAACATAGCAAGACTTCATCTCAAAAAAAAATTATCACAATAATCATTTTCACATAAGTATACCTATAGGGGAAAACCTGGAATATATATAGAGCAGGCTTGTCCAACCTGCGGCCCAACACAAATCTGTAAACTTTCTTAAAACAGTATGAGGTTTTTTTGTGATTTTTTTTTCTTTTAGCTCACCAGCTATTGCTAGCATTAGTGTATTTTATGTGTGGCCCAAGGCGATTCTTCTTCTTCCAGTGTGGTGCAGGGAGGCCAAAAGATTGGACATCCCTGATATACACGTTAACAGGTGCCATCCTTGGATGGCAGGATTATAGAGACTTCTACACGTTCATGTCTGTACTATTTCATTTTTATAAATACGCATTTTCCACTCGTAACAAAAAACTGTGACTGAAAATCATCCCGGGCCACAGTGTCTCATGCCTGTAATCCCAACACTGTAAGAGGCTGAGGCTTTGGGAGGCTGAGGTGAGGGGATCACTTAAGGTCAAGAGTTCAAGACCAGCCTGGCCAACACGGTGAAACCCCATCTCTACTAAAAACACAAAAATTAGCCAGGCGTGGTGGTGCATGCCTATAATCCCAGCTACTTGGGAGACTGAGGCAGGAGAATCACCTGGGAGGCATTGCAGTGAGCTGAGATTGCACCACTGCACTCCAGCCTGGGGAACAGAGTAAAACTCTGTCTAAAAAAAAATAATAAAAGAGGCTGAGGCAGGAGCATCACTTGAGGCCATGAATTCAGGACCCCATCTCTACAAAATAAAAAAATTACTAGCATGGTGGCACACACCTGTCATCCCAGCTACTCAGGAAATGGGAGGATTGCTAGAGCCCAGGAGTCGAGGCTGTAGTGAGCAATGACTGTGCCACTGCACTCCAGCCTGGGTGACAAAACAAGATCGTATCTCAAAAAAAAAAAAAAAAAAAAGGATCATTCTGGCTAACGGCTCTTCAGACATCTGTGCTTATGAGAACACCAGCCCCTTCTAAGCTGTGTGTGTGTGTGTGTGTGTGTGTGTCTGTGTGTGATTTTTTTTTTTTGAGATGGAGTCTCACTCTGTCACTCAGGCTCGAGTGCAGTGGCACAATCTCGGCTCACTGCAACCTCCGCTTCCTGGGTTCAGGCAATTCTCCTGCCTCAGCCTCCCAAGTAGCTGGAATTACAGGCACCCGCCATCGTGCCTAGCTAATTTTTGTATTTTTGTAGAGATGGGTTTTACCATGTTGGCCAGGCTGGTCTCGAACTCCTGAACTAAAGTGATCCACCCGCCTTGGCCTCCCAAACTGTTGGGATTACAGGTGTGAGCCACTGTGCCTGGCCGCTTTCTAAGCTTTGTGAAGAGTGGGTTGACGGAGCAGCCAGGTAGATGTGGGTTCAGATCTCTGCTTCTGTCCTGCTGTGCCAAGTGCTGGGGCAGATGCGGGTAGAGAGTGGACAGCGGCATGGTGCCCGCTGCTAGCCATTTCTATGCAAAACCAGATTTCTGGTCCCATCCTGGAGGCCAATTCTAGGCACCTGGGTGGGCCTGGGAACCTGTGAACCAAGTAAACTGACTTGGACACCGCCCCCCCACCCCGCCAGGCCTGTCCTAGCAGCCCCACACAATACGCTCATGTCCTGTCCCCAAACACTGCCATCCTGAAACACATGTGCTCTGTTTCCAGGCCAGGCCAGGATCAGATGGGAAGTGGAACCTCGTCATGACCAGAAACTGTTTCCCTATGAAGAGCACTTGGAGATGGCAATGCTGAACCTCACACTGTAGGACTCACACACGACTCCAATGGGATTGTGAGAATCAAGTCACTCTCAAGGGAAGAGGTTTCATATGGGAAAGCTGATAAAACTTTCACTGGACTGGAATGTTTGGAGAATGTTAATTTCCAAATCAGGAACTACAAACTGCCCTCTAATAAGACATCGGCTATCTAAGCGTGTGGGTGCTCCCTTTCTGCCAGCAGTTCTGGTTCTTAAGGAAATCGCCATCACTCAGACATGAAAACTCTGGCTCCAAAAATAGCATTTTCTTTGTGCAAATAAAAACGTGTGTATCAAGTATGTGGACACACTCGGTTCCTCACAAAGCCAAGCCTGCTGCAGCTGCCACATCCCTGGACACACTTGGTTCCTCACAAAGCCAAGACTGCTGCAGCTGCCACATCCGCGGACACACTCAGTTCTTCACAAAGCCAAGCCCGCTGCAGCTGCCACATCCCTGGGCTTACGATGCAGCAGGTGCTTTTTTCAAGACAGGAATCAAAATGTTAGGAACACGGCAGAAAGGTGACACCTGGAGACCAAACGCAGGATAAGGAGTACTGCAGAGGTCACAGGGAAGTCACAGAACAGTAATACGCTAGCAGGGGCATGGGGCATGAAGAACAGAAGAAGAGAGGAAGTGTTTCCGAGCCTCCGGAAAAGAAATCAGAGCCAAGCACAGCTTCCCGGGTCACAGAACCAATTCATTCACCAGGCGGCACCACTGCCGTCATTTCAGCTTCTGGCCACTGGGAGGCGCTGCTCAAAAGGGTTTGCCCTGAGACTCCGAGAAGAAGCTGCGGGAAGGACAGCAGGGGTCCCGGGGTTTTAGCCTCTGGCCCAGGAGTTGTATGTCCATAACCAAAGGGAGCACAGTCTGCACCCAGCTCTCATCCCATCGGAGCTGCTGCGACTCCCGCAGGTTCTTCCAAAACTGGTTTAGCTTGCCTGCAGGATCAGGAAAGTTTGAGAAAAGCATCTGCAAAAAAATAAAGAGCAGAGCTTACCTCATTGCCTGTCCCCACCCCATCCCAGGTCACCACCTGGCTGACCCCAGGTCCCCGACCCAACAACAACCCCTCCCAAGTTCCTAACTCTCTCACTTGGACTCGAGACTCTTCACGCCCCAGCAGCGCTCCGCCTCCAACTTGACATCATGCTTTCTGGAAACTTCCCCGTATGTCCCACTTTCCCACACTTGGTGCCCTGGAGCACCTCCCGGCCTCTAACGTGCTGTATGTTCCCCTGCGAGCACCCTCCTCTTGGCCTCTGGCCAAGTCCCACCCATCTGTGGGTAACAAGGGGGTGTCGGTGTTCTTTTCAGCCTTGCTAAACTCTCTGAATCAAGGATCACAAACTACAGCCTGCAGGCCAAATCCAGCCCACAGCCTGTGTTTGTAAATAAAGTTTTATTGGAACAAAGCCACACCCCTTAATCTACAGATGATCTGTGGCTACTTTCACACCACAACAGAGTACCATGGTTCTGACAGAGACTGGGGGACCCAGTCTAAATGACTTCTGACCTGGACCTTTACTGAAAATCCTGCCAATCATTCTGTTGGCAAGAATGATGTATTACTTTTAGCAATAAGAAACAAGTAACCTTTGCAGAATTCCACCCATCTTTCAAGGCTGGTCCCAGAAGCTCCCTTTGCCCGCCCACCTACCTGATCCTGATCACTTCCTAAACTGCAGCCCGGCCCACCTGGCTCCAGCATCATTTGTGGAGTCTCAGCTCCATAAATCCAGAGGGCAGGTGGGGGTGTGTCCTAACTTTCCCGAGCCTACTGTACCGAAACGGGACAGCAGAGTGGGCCGGCCTCTGTGACCTCTGCTCCCTCCCTAGCTTTTCCGCCAGATCCCACATGGTCCCACCCTGGCTGTGGGAAGCAGGGATCAGGGAGTGTGGCTCAGTGCCAGTCTCCAGAACCCTCCCCACCCTGGCGTGGTGGCAGATGTGGCTACCTGCAGAGCTGCCAGTTCCTCTGAGTCCTCAAAGACCAGGCCATTTTCTTCATGTTTCACCAGCTCATGTAAACTGCAGAGAGAACCAAGGGAGCCTGAGAGCTGCCTGGAGAAGACACCAGACCCCTGGGGTGCCCACCTGGGCTCCCCCCACCACCGCATGCTCAAGCCAGTCTGGGGGTTGGAACAGGGGGTGTGGTTTCCAGGAGCTGGTTCTTAGACTTGGCATCTGAAGGGTATAAAGGCCTGGGGGGGTGCACATCAAAATGGACAAACTGATTTGAGGAGGGAGCCTTAAGGAGGGTTTGTACCTTCTGTGCTGGATGCTCTTCAAGGACTGAAGAATTATTTTTGCATGTTTTTCTTAATTCCATGGCCATGGAACAAGTAAAGACAACACCCTGGGGACTGGCTCAGCACATAAAAGATGACTTTTCTAGGGCACCAGGTTTGATCCCGACATTTCCTGAGCTCAGTTCACATGAGGGGCTCACATCCCTGAATCCCATCCAGGAGCCAGCTCCTGAGCAGGGGCCAAGGGCTCAGCTTGTGCTGGGGCTACTGCTTCTAGAATCTCCTCTAACGCCGCCCTTCCAAACAGCCATCTATGCTGGGTGGAGTGAGGCCACAGCATGACAATCGTTTAACTGATTCAAACCCACCAGGTGAGCTTGGCCAAAAGGGACATGGTGGGAGAGAAAGAAACAAAGAAAACCATGTAAGCCTGCAGGCAATTCCCGCCAATTCTACTCTAGGAGCAAAAGCCCCGAGTGGAGTTCTAGTATTTGGGATGCTTTTCTTTCATACTAGGTTGGTGCAGAAGTAATTGCCACCTTTAATGGCAAAAACCGTGATTACTTTTGTACCAACCTAAATATAACATGAGCTCTAAATGGAAGCAACTACTTCAGTGAGGCTCAGCCCAGCCACAGTAACCGCAGGGCTCCTCCTCGTGGCCTCCAGTGTGTGCTGGACTGACCGAGGGGCAGGGCCTCACTGTGGGCAGCTCGCTCTGCACTGTTTCCTCCTCAGCGGTGGATCTGTGAAGCTATCCCCAGAAAGATTCGGGTTCTGCTCCTACCACTTGAAGTTCACGGCACACACAGGCAAACAGCACCCGAACATGTCCACCACCTTCATGGGCAGGTCCAGGCCACTGGAGGACATGTGCAGACAGACACCCAGGTCCACCGACCCTGCTAGGCAAGAGGGGTGCAGTCAGAGCGCTGGTCTCTGCCCTGGGAACACAAATCTTCCCAGCACAGTGAGGCAACATCCCGAGGGGAGTGAAAATCGGATAAGACCCCCGACAGCCCCAAGCACAAGTGGCTTAAGCTGGCCAAGCAGCCACATAGCCTGGCTGGGACATCTGAAAATGTAAGTTGACACTTTTTCTACTTAACCACAATTTATTTTTGTTGTTGTTGTTTTGGTTTGTTTCCTTTTGAGACAGAGTCTCACTCTGTTACCCAGGCTGGAGTGCAGTGGCACAATCTCAGCTCACTGCAACCTCCACCTCCCAGGTTCACCTCCCGTATGTAATCCCAGCATTTTGGGAGCCCAAGGCGGGCAGATCACCTGAGGTCAGGAGTTCAAGACCAGCCTGGCCAACATGGTGAAACCCTGTTTCTACTAAAAATACAAAAATTAGCTGAGTGTGGTGGGCCCCTGTAGTCCCAGCTACTCGGGAGGCTAAGGCATGAGAATTGTTTGAATGTGAGAGGCGGAGGTTGCAGTGAGCAAAGATCACACCACTGCACCCCAGCCTGGGCGACAGAGACTCTGTCTCAAAAAAAAAGAAAAAAAGAAAAAAAGACACCAATGACGTAACAACAACAAAAAAAAAAGATGCTTGGGAACTACTGAAAAAGTAGAAAGCTTGGTATCTACAGATTCAAATCTGGGCTCCCTGCCCTGCTGTGAAACCCTCTGAGCCTCAGTTTCCCCCATGTCAAGCAGTATAAGACCCTATAGCAGAGAGCTGCAGTGAAGATTAAGGAGACAAGATCGTGGGAAGCACAGGGTAAAGGCTGTGTGCCCCTCCCCCTCCACCATCCCCCAACCAAACAGACACCCAGGGTCCTAGGCGGTACCTGTTATCACACAGACAAGAGAAGGAAGGTTGTGTCCATCAAGAGTAAGTTGTTCAAACTCTGTGTTTAAAAAAAGAAACAATTCTACATGGAATTTCTGATAGAATTTCTTTTTTTTTTTCTTCTGACAGACTCTTGCTCTGTCACCCAGGCTGGAATGCAGTGGCGTGATCTCAGCTCACTGCAACCTCTGCCTCCTGGGTTCAAGTAATTCCCGTGCATCAGCCTCCCAAGTAGCTGGGATTACAGGCGCCCACCACCATACCCAGCTAATTTTTGTATTTTTAGTAGAGACAGGTTTTGCCATGTTGGCCTCGAACTCCTGACCTCAGGTAATCTGCCTGCCGCGGGCTCCCAGAGTTCTAGGATTACAGGTGTGAGCCACCATGCCCATTCAGAAAAAACGTTTTAAATAAACAGTAGCCAGAGTCACCTGGTCAGGTGGAGAAAGAGCACTGCTCTGGTGGGGAGGCCACCAGCCTCTGTGAGATACTCTCCTGGAGGGGGCATTTCAGCCTGAGGGCCTGGTCACTCAATGACCCAACTGAGGATTCAGGGCGGCCCACCTCCACCACCCCTGCTGTCCCCAGGCTGCCCCACCCAGTGGCCGGGGACAGCAACATGCTGCAGGCCAGGCAAGCAGCTCACAGCTCAGTGGCCCCCGACAAGCCCGGAGCTCCTCACCGCAGCTACACATCTACTTTCTAAAGCTGCCAGCAGGATGGAGAAGTCTTCATCCTCTATGAGAAGAGAATTGAATATCAGGGGCCTGTTTCTAGACACCCCTCTTCCAGCTCACATGCCCTCCCCTTCTCATTGAGACTGTGGTGGGGTGGGGGCATGCAGGACTGGTAGGGGTGAGGAGAACACAGGTTGGCCAGGTGCCCGTCACACCAACCCCAAGTGTTCCAGGGGTCGTGCAGACCTGTCCAGCCCGTGCTGCTGACCAGCAGGGCTGGCCACTCGCGGAGATGCATCACCAGCCTGCTCCCAGCATCCAGCTCCATGAAGGCCGACCGCTCCATGGCTGCGTCCTCAGGTTCTGAGCTGAAAGAGCAGGAAAAAAGCCTGTGAGAGGCCACAGAGCAGGCCCAGGACCCAGGACGGGCATCTCCTGCCGTGGCAAGGCCTGCAGGCTCCCAAAGGTTGGGGTGCCCGGCCACATCAGCAGCACCAGGCCACCCCTGCCATCCGAGGCCTGGGCTTGCTTTCTCTAATATTGTTGCTGGGTGCTAAGGTTACAACAGCAAACAAGACTGACTCATTCCTTTTCTCCACGGGACTTACTGTCTTGTCATCCCCTGGACTCAAGATGAGCGTGCAGGGACGCCATCCCACACCACCCCAGCTTACCCAGGGGCCCACCTTAGGGTGTGTGGACCTGCACAAAGGTCCCCTCTTTAGCCCCGTGAGACACCCCAGGGGACACACAGGTCCACAGATCTGCCACAGGCCTGGGAACCCACTGGCAGGAGAGTAAGACAGCGTAGGGGTCCACAAACATTTCTTAAAGGGCCAGAGAGTAAATACTTCAGGCTTTGCAGGCCACAGGTTCTCTGTTGCAAAACGTGATTCTGCTATTGTAGCTCAAAGGCGGCTGTAGACAACTCAGAAGGCAATGAGTGTGTTGTGTCCCAGTGAAACTTGATTTACAAAAGCAGGAGACTGGCCTGTAGCCTTAGTTTGCCAACCCCTGGATGAGTGGGTTCCCAGGTCTGCAGTGAGAAGGGGAGAGGCCAGGGCAGTGGCGAGCAGGAGAGAAGGCAGCTGAGGAGGGGAGGCCTACCAGGCCCTGAACAGAGAGTGAGTGCCACCCAGCTTCATGAAGAGCCGGTGCAGCAGGTCCAGAGGTGTCTCTTTAAAGAAAGATGCCGGCTTGTCATAGATGGTCACAGCCCTGCAATGAAATCATGGCAGGGCTATTGGGAGGGCTGAAGAAAGGCCTCAGGAATAGAGGACTCAGAGGCTCCAGGAAAAGAAGGACGCTTGGGGAATCCAAGTCTCAGACGATGACAAGAAGAAGCCTTGCAATCACTTGGGAATGCACAGGGAGACGTCCTAGGACCAAAACTGCCTGGACCCCCTGGCTGGTTGGGAAAGAAACTCTGCCCCCTCCTCTCCCGGCTTCCCCAAATTTTCCCATTATGTTGCCAAGCATTAGTCCAGCGTGGAGGCTACTTTCTGCTCAAACCACTCATTTGGGTCCCGCGCCCAACGTCACCCATCCTCAGTAAAACAACCTTTATTTCCTTCTTCCTGGTTTCCAGAAAGTTCCCCTAAAGCCCTGAGGAATCACCGAATGAAAGGGGCTTTTTACAAACAGGAAACTTAAGTGGAGTGCCAATACACAACATGGATTGCACCAGGCTAGGTCTAAGATAAAACCAGACTGTGGACAACAGGACAGATAAGACACACATGGCTCTGCACTGCCTGGGTCTGTTATTGTGTGGAGGAATGTCTTAGTCTGTTGCTCCTGTGGATGTGGCGAAAGCACGAACCAGGAGTTTTCATCCTTCATTTCATTTTCTTAATCTAGTTGTATCATCCTCTGGGTGAGCCTAGCCCACTTTAAAATGGATATTCAGATGTCAGAATGAATAGAGCAGTGTGCCTGACTTAAGTAATATCAAAATTTTAGACATGTGGAAAAGACGGAGTTGATGAAGCTACTGTTATCCAGAGACCATGACCATTCCGGGTGGTTGGTTTCGTTTCTAATGCACATCTGCTCCACCCCACCAATTGCTTTGCGCAATGTGCGGTTCTCATTACAAAGTCAACAATTCTTTATCATCTGCGTGGTCAGTCACCCTTTTGTTGTCCCTCCCTTGTAATTGTTTAATCTGGCCTCCCCTGCCACATTTCTTGGCTGCCTACTCTCCCCGCTCCTGTCAGTCAGGTTGTACTCAGGGAATGTAAATGCACAGAAAAAGTCCAGAGTCAATTAGAACTAATTAGGTGTTTTATCTGCTGCTTTGGATTATCCGTGCCCTCTATGGATACACGGCATAGGCTGGTTGAACAACCATCCCTGGATTGGGGAGCATTCTAAGACTCACACACAGCTTCCTATTGTCTGTGCTAACGGAGGTAAAGGCTGGTGTGAATGTACAACAGAGACATTTAAAAACCAAGGCATAGTTTATGCCCATTTTCATTGTACATTTTAGTGAGTGTTTACAGCTTTATATAACTGTCTGACCATCACCACAATCAAGGCATAGCATACTTTCAACATCACAAAAAGTTTTCTTGTGCCATCTCAGCCAATCTGGCCCTACCTTGGCCCCAAGCAACCACCAGTCTGCTTTCTGTCACTATAGATTAGATTTGTCTTTTCTAGGGTTTTAGTTTCTCCAATCTCCTTCCCAGTGATGTCTGGTTTAGGCTGATATTAAAATGTGTTCATGTTCCCTACATCCACACTGATTTAACACGGTGGGCAGAGCTGGGACATGGAAGAAACGTGAGAGGCAAGACGTGGAGGCTGATGAGCATAATTATTGGCAATGAGAAGAATGTTGGCTCTCCCCAGTATTTGTAGAATATGACAAAGCGGTGTGCCCATGTTGTGCCCTGAACCTATTTTCAAGGTCATTCAATACAGAGTCTCCTAAATTTAACTACCTAGGAATTGTGTTTTGCCTTGAATGGACATTTGGAAACTCCAGACTCTAGCCAGCCCCTCTCAGCCACGGAGTCATTGCTCCCCCTGGTGTAAACACAGAGACTAGTCACCCTGTGTCAGGCATTCCCACCCACTGCAGCCCTCCCTGGACCACAAGGAGCCAAGGGCAGGCAAGAAAGCTTCAGGCTCCCTCTGGCTGTTAGGTTCCTAGGTCAAAGGCTGAGTTTGTGAACACAGAGAAACACTAAGAGATCAACCGCTCAGGAACAGAGAGAAGGAAAACCGCAGAAACAGAACTAGCTAGACATGCAAGACAGAGAGGTGAGGGGGCACAGGCACAGCCCAAAAAACAAAGCAAGGAGAGGAGCCAAGATGGCCGAATAGGAACAGCTCCGGTCTACAGCTCCCAGCGTGAGCGACGCAGAAGATGGGTGATTTCTGCATTTCCATCTGAGGTACCGGGTTCATCTCACTAGGGAGTGCCAGACAGTGGGCGCAGGTCAGTGGGTGCGTGCACTGTGCGCAACCCGAAGCAGGGAGAGGCATTGCCTCACTTGGGAAGCGCAAGGGGTCAGGGAGTTCCCTTTCCGAGTCAAAGAAAGGGGTGACGGACTCACCTGGGAAATCGGGTCACTCCCACCCGAATATTGCGCTTTTCGGACCGGCTTAAAAAACGGCGCACCACAAGATTATATCCCGCACCTGGCTCAGAGGGTCCTACGCCCACGGAGTCTCACTGATTGCTAGCACAGCAGTCTGAGATCAAATTGCAAGGCGGCAGTGAGGCTGGGGGAGGGGCACCCGACATTGCCCAGGCTTGCTTAGGTAAACAAAGCAGCTGGGAAGCTCAAACTGGGTGGAGCCCACCACAGCTCAAGGAGGCCTGCCTGCCTCTGTAGGCTCCACCTCTGGGGGCAGGGCACAGACAAACAAAAAGACAGCAGTAACCTCTGCAGACTTAAATGTCCCTGTCTGACAGCTTTGAAGAGAGCAGTGGTTCTCCCAGCACGCAGCTGGAGATCTGAGAATGGGCAGACTGCCTCCTCAAGTGGGTCCCTGACCCCTGACCCCTGAGCAGCCTAACTGGGAGGCACCCCCCAGCAGGGGCACACTGACACCTCACACGGCAGGGTATTCCAACAGACGTGCAGCTGAGGATCCTGTCTGTTAGAAGGAAAACTAACAAACAGAAAGGACATCCACACCAAAAACCCATCTGTACATCACCATCATCAAAGACCAAAAGTAGATAAAACCACAAAGATGGGGAAAAAACAGAACAGAAAAATGGGAAACTCTAAAATGCAGAGCACCTCTCCTCCTCCAAAGGAACGCAGTTCCTCACCAGCAATGGAACAAAGCTGGATGGAGAATGACTTTGACAAGCTGAGAGAAGAAGGCTTCAGACGATCAAATTACTCTGAGCTACAGGAGGACATTCAAACCAAAGGCAAAGAAGTTGAAAACTTTGAAAAAAATTTAGAAGAATGTATAACTAGAATAACCAATACAGAGAAGTGCTTAAAGGAGCTGATGGAGCTGAAAACCAAGGCTCGAGAACTACGTGAAGAATGCAGAAGCCTCAGGAGCCGATGCAGTCAACTGGAAGAAATGGTATCAGCAATGGAAGATGAAATGAATGAAATGAAGTGAGAAGGGAAGTTTAGAGAAAAAAGAATAAAAAGAAATGAGCAAAGCCTCCAAGAAATATGGGACTATGTGAAAAGACCAAATCTACATCTGATTGGTGTACCTGAAAGTGATGGGGAGAATGGAACCAAGTTGGAAAACACTCTGCAGGATATTATCCAGGAGAACTTCCCCAATCTAGCAAGGCAGGCCAAGGTTCAGATTCAGGAAATACAGAGAATGCCACAAAGATACTCCTCGAGAAGAGCAACTCCAAGACACATAATTGTCAGATTCACTAAAGTTGAAATGAAGGAAAAAATGTTAAGGGCAGCCAGAGAGAAAGGTCGGGTTACCCTCAAAGGGAAGCCCATCAGACTAACAGCAGATCTCTTGGCAGAAATCCTACAAGCCAGAAGAGAGTGGGGGCCAATATTCAACATTCTTAAAGAAAAGAATTTTCAACCCAGAATTTCATATCCAGCCAAACTAAGCTTCATAAGTGAAGGAGAAATAAAATACTTTAGAGACAAGCAAATGCTGAGAGATTTTGTCACCACCAGGCCTGCCCTAAAAGAGCTCCTGAAGGAAACACTAAACATGGAAAGGAACAACCAGTACCAGCCGCTGCAAAATCATGCCAAAATGTAAAGACCATCGAGACTAGGAAGAAACTGCATCAATTAACGAGCAAAATAACCAGCTAACATCATAATGACAGGACCAAATTCACACATAACAATATTAACTTTAAATGTAAATGGACTAAACGCTCCAATTAAAAGACACAGACTGGCAAATTGGATAAAGAGTCAAGACCCATCAGTGTGCTGTATTCAGGAAACCCATCTCACGTGCAGAGACACACATAGGCTCAAAATAAAAGGATGGAGGAAGATCTACCAAGCAAATGGAAAACAAAAAAAAGGCAGGGGTTGCAATCCTAGTCTCTGATAAAACAGACTTTAAACCAACAAAGATCAAAAGAGACAAAGAAGGCCATTACATAATGGTAAAGGGATCAATTCAACAAGAAGAGCTAACTATCCTAAATATATATGCACCCAATACAGGAGCACCAAGATTCATAAAGCAAGTCCTGAGTGACCTACAGAGAGACTTAGACTCCCACACATTAATAATGGGAGACTTTAACACCCCACTGTCAACATTAGACAGATCAACGAGACAGAAAGTCAACAAGGATACCCAGGAATTGAACTCAGCTCTGCACCAAGAGGACCTAATAGACATCTACAGAACTCTCCACCCCAAATCAACAGAATATACATTTTTTTCAGCACCACACCACACCTATTCCAAAATTGACCACATACTTGGAAGTAAAGCTCTCCTCAGCAAATGTAAAAGAACAGAGATTATAACA
Organism: Homo sapiens; assembly: GCF_000001405.40. NCBI lineage: Eukaryota > Metazoa > Chordata > Mammalia > Primates > Hominidae > Homo > Homo sapiens. The sequence goes on from NC_000003.12 coordinate 125,939,297, forward strand.
AACTATCTCTCAGACCACAGTGCAATCAAACTAGAACTCAGAATTAAGAATCTCACTCAAAACCGCTCAACTACATGGAAACTGAACAACCTGCTCCTGAATGACTACTGGATACATAATGAAATGAAGGCAGAAATAAAGATGTTCTTTGAAACCAACGAGAACAAAGACACAACATACCAGAATCTCTGGGATGCATTCAAAGCAGTGTGTAGAGGGAAATTTATAGCACTAAATGCCCACAAGAGAAAGCAGGAAAGATCCAAAATTGACACCCTAACATCACAATTAAAAGAACTAGAAAAGCAAGAGCAAACACATTCAAAAGCTAGCAGAAGGCAAGAAATCACTAAAATCAGAGCAGAACTGAAGGACATAGAGACACAAAAAACCCTTCAAAAAATTAATGAATCCAGGAGCTGGTTTTTTGAAAGGATCAACAAAATTGATAGAACGCTAGCAAGACTAATAAAGAAAAAAAGAGAGAAGAATCAAATAGACGCAATAAAAAATGATAAAGGGGATATCACCACTGATCCCACAGAAATACAAACTACCATCAGAGAATACTACAAACACCTCTACGCAAATAAACTAGAAAATCTAGAAGAAATGGATAAATTCCTAGACACATACACTCTCCCAAGACTAAACCAGGAAGAAGTTGAATCTCTGAATAGACCAATAACAGGAGCTGAAATTGTGGCAATAATCAATAGTTTACCAACCAAAAAGAGTCCAAGACCAGATGGATTCACAGCCGAATTATACCAGAGGTACAAGGAGGAACTGGTACCATTCCTTCTGAAACTATTCCAATCAATAGAAAAAGAGGGAATCCTCCCTAACTCATTTTATGAGGCCAGCATCATTCTGATACCAAAGCCGGGCAGAGACACAACCAAAAAAGAGAATTTTAGACCAATATCCTTGATGAACATTGATGCAAAAATCCTCAATAAAATACGGGCAAAACGAATCCAGCAGCACATCAAAAAGCTTATCCACCATGATCAAGTGGGCTTCATCCCTGGGATGCAAGGCTGGTTCAATATACACAAATCAATAAATGTAATCCAGCATATAAACAGAGCCAAAGACAAAAACCACATGATTATCTCAATAGATGCAGAAAAGGCCTTTGAAAAAATTCAACAACCCTTCATGCTAAAAACTCTCAATAAATTAGGTATTGATGGGACATATTTCAAAATAATAAGAGCTATCTATGACAAACCCACAGCCAATATCATACTAAATGGGCAAAAACTAGAAGCATTCCCTTTGAAAACTGGCACAAGACAGGGATGCCCTCTCTCACGACTCCTATTCAACATAGTGTTGGAAGTTCTGGCCAGGGCAATTAGGCAGGAGAAGGAAACAAAGGGCATTCAATTAGGAAAAGAGGAAGTCAAATTGTCCCTGTTTGCAGATGACATGATTGTATATCTAGAAAACCCCATTGTCTCAGCCCAAAATCTCCTTAAACTGATAAGCAACTTCAGCAAAGTCTCAGGATACAAAATCAATGTACAAAAATCACAGGCATTCTTATACACCAACAACAGACAAACAGAGAGCCAAATCATGAGTCAACTCCCATTCACAATTGCTTCAAAGAGAATAAAATACCTAGGAATCCAACTCACAAGGGATGTGAAGGACCTCTTCAAGGAGAACTACAAACCACTGCTCAAGGAAATAAAAGAGGATACAAACAAATGGAAGAACATTCCATGCTCATGGGTAGGAAGAATCAATTCGTGAAAATGGCCATACTGCCCAAGGTAATTTACAGATTCAATGCCATCCCCATCAAGCTACCAATGACTTTCTTCACAGAATTGGAAAAAACTACTTTAAAGTTCATATGGAACCAAAAAAGAGCCCGCATCGCCAAGGCAATCCTAAGCCAAAAGAACAAAGCTGGAGGCATCACACTACCTGACTTCAAACTATACTACAAGGCTACAGTAACCAAAACAGCATGGTACTGGTACCAAAACAGAGATATCAATCAATGGAACAGAACAGAGCCCTCAGAAATAACGCTGCCTATCTACAACTATCTGATCTTTGACAAACCTGAGAAAAACAAGAAATGGGGAAAGGATTCCCTATTTAATAAACGGTGCTGGGAAAACTGGCTAGCCATATGTAGAAAGCTGAAACTGGATCCCTTCCTTACACCTTATACAAAAATCAATTCAAGATGGATTAAAGACTTAAACGTTAGACCTAAAACCATAAAAAACCTAGAAGAAAACCTAGGCAATACCATTCAGGACATAGGCATGGGCAAGGACTTCATGTCCAAAACACCAAAAGCAATGGCAACAAAAGACAAAATTGACAAATGGGATCTAATTAAACTAAAGAGCTTCTGCACAGCAAAAGAAACTACCATCAGAGTGAACAGGCAACCTACAAAATGGGAGAAAATTTTCACAACCTACTCATCTGACAAAGGGCTAATATCCAGAATCTACAATGAACTCAAACAAATTTACAAGAAAAAAACAAACAACCCCATCAAAAAGTGGGCGAAGGACATGAACAGACACTTCTCAAAAGAAGACATTTATGCAGCCAAAAAACACATGAAAAAAATGCTCATCATCACTGGCCATCAGAGAAATGCAAATCAAAACCACAATGAGATACCATCTCACACCAGTTAGAATGGCAATCATTAAAAAGTCAGGAAACAACAGGTGCTGGAGAGGATGTGGAGAAATAGGAACACTTTTACACTGTTGGTGGGACTGTAAACTAGTTCAACCATTGTGGAAGTCAGTGTGGCGATTCCTCAGGGATCTAGAACTGGAAATACCATTTGACCCAGCCATCCCATTACTGGGTATATACCCAAAGGACTATAAATCATGCTGCTATAAAGACACATGCACACGTATGTTTATTGCGGCATTATTCACAATAGCAAAGACTTGGAACCAACCCAAATGTCCAACAATGATAGACTGGATTAAGAAAATGTGGCACATATACACCATGGAATACTATGCAGCCATAAAAAATGATGAGTTCATGTCCTTTGTAGGGACATGGATGAAATTGGAAATCATCATTCTCAGTAAACTATCGCAAGAACAAAAAACCAAACACTGCATATTCTCACTCATAGGTGGGAATTGAACAATGAGATCACATGGACACAGGAAGGGGAATATCACACTCTGGGGACTGTGGTGGGGTGGGAGAAGGGGGGAGGGATAGCATTGGGAGATATACCTAATGCTAGATGACGAGTTAGTGGGTGCAGCGCACCAGCATGGCACATGTATACATATGTAACTAACCTGCACAATGTGCACATGTACCGTAAAACTTAAAGTATAATAAAAAGTAAAAATAAAAATAAAAAAAAACAAAAAACAAAGCAAGAAGCGATAGAGGGATGATTTTTTTCTCCATTTATGAGACATCCTAAAAATTTACTCCTCTGCCCAAAATAGATTCATATCCAGGATATGAGAATCCTTGAGAAGTGTATTTTAACATGGAAATGCTGATAAATCTTTTAAACAACTTATACACCTCCAGGTGCTGCTTAATCCCTTTAAACCTCCAGTAACTCCATCCATGGTGTTTAAAGTCTCATAAATCTGCACTAGCTTAAAATAGGGCAATATAAATCACGTTTAGGGGGTTGGGAATAGGGACAGGAGATGGACATCCCAATGCCGTTTAAAACCACAGCACAGGCTTTTCATCAAATTTTTCCAAGAAAAGTTAAAATGAAAAACATTCAGGTTTCTGGGTTGTGGTTTCATAAGTTCTCAATTTGTTCTTTTTCCTTTTTTTCAGGGGGGTGGGCTGGGGTCCAAAAGAGCATTGACTAGCTAGTCAGTTGGAAAGAAAAAAATTGCAAACACCCATCTCACTTAGTCCTTTTACACAAAATAAAACCAAAAAGAGAAAATAATAATGAAATACTACCAGAAGTCATTAGAAAACAGCAATGTTTCTAGTAAAGCACCAACAAAAATAATGTCTGGCTTTTGTTAAATTGTTAATTTATGCCAAAAAATAAAAGTTATAGATACTATTCTACTAATAATAGCTACTTTTACTTTCTCATTCCTACCACATGCCCAGCACCTACCACTGAGCTGAGGACACACACAACCACCTCCTCCTCATCCCCCTGCTACAAAGGCTGTCAGACTTTTTCTGGCTCCACATTCATAATATTTCTCATTACAAACAGTGATTCTCAACAGCTGTTTGAGAAGCTGCTGGAGAAGCCACACTCTCCTAGAAAATCCAGGGGGTACATGAGAGATCCAGCAGGGGAAGGCTTTTCTGTGTGAAGAGCTTTGGGTACATTATCTAATTTTATCCCCACAGCAGCCCCATGAGAAATATTATTATTATTTCTGTTTTACAGATGAGGAAGCTAAGGTTCAGACTGTTTAAGTAATTTACCCCAAGTAGCACGGCTGGTAAATGATGGAGCAAAAATTCCAACCCCGAGTCTGCTTTGGAAGACCTGATCTTATCCAGGATGCCATCTACCTTCTGTGGGGCAATAGACCCAGACCACAGAGCATTTGGAAGAATCTCACATATCACACTCTAAGAATTGATATGTTTTCTGCTTCCTCTTTTCTGGCCTGTCCCAGTGACCTTTCAAACCCCAAAGTCTTGGAAAAATCCACTGTGTTAACTGACTCTTTACTGAAACTTCAGTCCTGTAGAGAAAATAAGAGTCTCCAGCTTGTGTCACTTGCTTCAAGTTCCAGTTGGCCTGCAGGGACGTACCACCAAGTGATCCTGGGAAAACACCGGAACTTTCGTTTCCCTACGTACTAAATAGGGATCTATAAGACCTATCTTTGGGGTTGTTGTGAGGATTAACATGTGGGAAGACTATCTGGAGCCTGCAAAGTCCAGGCAATTGCTGGGTCATGTGATGAGTATGGTAGCCAAGTATGGTGCCTGAAGTATAATAAAGAGGAAAAGCCTCCCTAAGGTCTGTCTTCACAGAGCAGATATTACAGAGCACTTTATCCCCAAATAGTTCAGAAAGCATCTCCTAAGAATAAGGACATTATCCTCTTTTTATATAATGTATATAACCACAATACTTTTATTACACCTAAGAAAAGTAATAATAATTCCAGAATATCAGATATCCCCAGTTGTTTCAAGAATGCCTTTTATAGCTGTTTTCATTGTGCCAAAATACACATAACATAAAACGTACCATTTTAACCATTTTTAAATGTACACTTCAGTGGCATTAAGTACAGTCAGATTGTTGTGTAACCATCACCACCATCCACCTCCAGAACTTTTTTATCTACCCCACTGAAACTGCATCCAGTAAAATACTAACTCCTCAGCCCCTGGCAACGACCATTCTACTTTCTGTCTCTATACATTTGACAACTCTGGTACTTCATGTAAATAGAATCACACCGTATTTGTGCTTTTGTGACTGACTTATTTCACTTAGCACAATGTCTTCTAGGTTTATCCATGTTGTGGCATGTGTTAGAATTTCCTCCCTTTTTAAAGCTGAATGATATCCCACTGCATGTATATGCCGCATTTTGTTTATCCATTCATACATTGATGAACACTTTTATTGCTTCTACTTTTTGGCTATTGTAAATAATGCTGCTATGAACGGGGGGTACAAATACCTGTTTGAGTCTTTGATTCTACTTCTTTTGAGTGTATATGCAGAAGTGGGGTTGCTGGATCATATAGTAATTCTGTGGTTAATTTTTTGAGGATTAGCCATCCCATTTTTCACAGCAGCCATACCTTTTTACACACCCACCAGCAATGCACGAGGGTTCCAATTTCTCCACATCCTTACCAATACTTGTTATTTTTTGTTGCCTTATATTTTATCTTATTTTATTTTAGGGATGGGGTCTTGCTGTGTTGCACATGTTGGAGTGCAGTGGCTATTCACACTTAGTGCACTGCAGCCTCTAACTCCTGGTCTCAAGAAATTCTCCCACCTCAGCCTCTTGAGTGCTGGGACTACAGCATCATTGTGCCTGGCACTTTCTTTTTTTTTTTTTTTTTTTTTTATAATAGCCAACTTAATGTGTTTGATCTCATTGTGGTTTTAATTTGCATTTCCCTCATAATTAGTCTTTTTGTGTGTTTATTGACCAGTTGTACATCTTCTTTGGAGAAATGTCTATTCAACTCCTTTCCCCATTTTTCAATCTGTTAATTATTTTGTAGTTGTTCAGTTGTAAGGATTCTTCGCATATTATGAATATCAATTTGCAAATATTTTCTCCCCTTCAGTGGTTTGCCTTTTCTCTGTGTTGATTGTGTCCTTTGATGCACGGAAGTATTTAATCTTTATGTAGTCCAATTTATCTATTTTTTCTTTTTGTGCTTTTGGTGGCAACCAGAAAATTTGAAATTACATGTAGCTGCAGCTGACATTATATTGCTATTGGACACTTCTGACCTAGAAGCTTGATTAGATTTAGGTTAATCTATTTTGGCAAGAATACTTCATAGTTTGGACACAGTGGCTCACGCCTATAATCCCAGCACTTTCAGGCAGAACTCCCACAGGAGTTCGAGACCAGCCTGTGCAACATGGTGAAACAACATCTCCACAAAAAATATGTATAAAATTAGCCAGGTATGGTGGCACACATCTGTAGTCCCAGCTACTAGGGAGGCTGAGGTGGGAGGATCACTTGAGACTGGGAGGTCAAAGCTGCAGTGAGCTTTGCACAGCTGCCCTCTAAACTGGGTGACAGAGCAAAACCCTATCTCAAAAAAAAAAACCTTCATAGTTGATGTTGTGTACTTCATAATATATTACAGCAAGAGGTATATAATATCTAGTTGTCCTACTGTCACTGATGCTAAATTTGATCACGTGGATAACTGCCAGATATCTGGATTATAAAGTACATTTTCTCTTTTGCAATTTCTAAATAATTTGTGAGATGATACTTTGGCACCAGAATACCATTTCAGATATTATCAAACCTTGACACTGGTTAGCCCTCTTAGAGAAATGTACAGAGCAAAATTAAGGAAAAGAGTCAATGAGTCAGATCCTAAATGCATGACCCTCCAGGAAGGCAGTTCAGATAACTCCCTGCCTTTGTATCCTGGCTTTTTGGTGGCTGCAACAGCCAGAGAACATGTCTTGCCTACCCCTTCTGCCTGTCCTTTTTCTTAGTGGCTGCTATGTAATCTGTAGCACTCTCTTGGGCCAGTCATTTCCATTGTAACTATAACTACAGCTTACCCAAGCCTTATTTTCTGTCTTGCTACTAGCAATAACCCAGGCTTGTGCTATAGCCTCTGCTTCCACATTTCTGAGAGATCCCAAAGGGAGTCTCTCATGCACTGAAGAACCTGTCTCTTTTTCACCTCTTTTTCTTTCTGTGACTACATTTATATCTGTGCTAATTAATATTAATATTAATATCTGTGCTACATTAATATCTGTGTTCTTGGAGCAACCAGAGGGGCAAACTCCCATGGTGCCAAAGTGGCCCTAGACTTCCCAGAGTGTTTTCTGGCTAAAATCATGCTGAGTCTACATGAAGTGGGGAAAAGTGTCTTATTCCTCCCCCTTAGGACACTTTCCCTCCAGGTGCCAATGCAGCACCTTTGTGCTCTTCTGTCTCACAACATCGGTTATGAAATCACATACTTCAGTTTCTGCTTGACTTGCTAGAATTTGGCTCATCATAAATATCCGGGACAGACACCTTGTTGCCTCCTGATCCCCCTCTTCTCCCCAGGCATTTCAGCAAGAACACCTTCCCTCTTCATTTAGCCAAATCAGCTCCTGGCACTCCACCTACTTTTCTTCAGAGGGATATAAATCCAATTTAGGCTCCCAAAAGGATAACTAGTCTTATTCTCTATTATAGTACCTAAGTAGGAGAGAACACTCTCCTAGTGGAATTTTCTTCAGTATGTTTATGTGATTGCAAGCCCAAATGGCTGATGATGTAATCAAAGGACTCCAGTTAGGTCCTAAGGTTTGCTCCCATTACAAGCAAAAAGAGATACTAGTAACCCTTCCAGAATAGCTCCACGGACCCAAGGATCCAAGAGACCAAATGAGGAAGTTAAGAATAAGCACAAGTGATGTAAAAATCTAAAACTATTTCTAGAAGAAAACATAGAAGAAAAGCTTTGCAATTTTGAGGCAGGCAAAGATTTCTTACTATGCAAAAAGCATGGACAATGAATCAAAAAGTTGATAAATTGGACTTCATTAAAATGTTGTTCTTTGCAAGACACTACTTTAAAAGATGAAAAGTTAGCCAGGCACAGTGGCTCATGCTTGTAATGTCAGCACTTTGGGAGGCTGAGGCAGGAGGATTGCTTGATCCCAGGAGTTTGAGAGCAGCCTCGGCAGCATGGCAAGACCCTGTCTCTACAGAAAAAAAAACAAAAACAACAACAAAAACAAAAAAACCTGAGTGTTGGTGCACACCTGCATTCCCAGCTACTTGGGAGGCTGAGGTGGAAGGCTAGGAGAAAACATTTGTAATACACATATCTGGCAAAGGATTTATATCCGGATAGAAAGAATTCTTACAATTCAATAACAAGAACCAACACAATTTTTAAATGGGCAAAATATTTGAAGAGACACTTCACCAAAGAAGATATATGAATGGCAAATAAGCACATTAAAAGTACTCAACATGATTAATTGGTGTTGAGCATTAGTCATCATGCAAATAAACCACAATGAAATACCAATGCACAGTCACTAAAATGGCAAGAAATTTAAAAGACTGACCCTACCAACCCTTGACAAGAATGTGGAAACAACTGGAATTCTCCTATAATGCTGTTCAGAATGTAAAATGGTACAACCACTTTGAAAAAGGGTATGGCGGTTTCTTTCTTTCTTTCTTTCTTTTTTTCTGAGACAGAGTTTTGCTCTTGTCACCCAGGCTGGAGTGCAGTGGTGCGATCTTGGCTCACTGCAACCTCTGCCTCCCAGGTTCAAGCAGTTCTTCTTCCTCAGCCTCCCAAATAGCTGGGATTACAGGTGTGTGCCACCACACCGTAATAATTTTTGTATTTTTATTAGAAACGGGGTTTCACCATGTTGGCCAGGGTGGTCTTGAACTCCTGACCTCAGGTGATCCACCTGTCTCAGCCTCCCAAAGTGCTGGGATTACAGGCGTGAGCCACTGCACCAGGCCAGCAGTTTCTTAAAATGTTAAACATACACCTGTCATATGACCCAGCCATTGGACTCCTAAGTATTTATCCAAGAAAGTTAAAACATATGTCCACACAAAAGCTTATATATGAATGTCTATAGAAGCTTTAATAATAATAGCCCAAAACAAATGTCCCTCAACAAGAGAAACAAAATGCCATATATTCATACAATAGAATACTATTCAGCAGTAAAAACAAATAAATTATTGATATGTCAATAAAATGAGTAAAACTCAAAATAATTATGCTGAGTGGAAAAAAGCCAGACACAAAAGAGTGCATACTAAACAATTCTATTTATATAAAATTCTGGAAAATGTGAACTTCCCTGAAGTGACAGAAAGCAAATCAGTAGTTCTATGATGCTAAGAGCAGGAGGCAGGATGGACTGCAAACATATACAAAGGAACTTTTTGGAATGATGGAAATGTTTCATGTGGTAATAATGGTGCTTTCCCAGGGGCATGTGTCTGTCAAAAGTCATTAAATCACACAAATTTGTAAAGTGGCAAAGAGGAAGTTAAAGCAGAGAATGAGTTGGAAGCTGAGTCAAGAGAGTCCCTCACGTGTCCGGGGAAGGTTAGCAAAAAGCTCAGGCTGGAAATAGACTAGACTGAGTTCCAGATAGCTGTAGTCAGAAGAAGGGTGATCTCACTGGTGATAAAGACCACTCAATGGTGAACCACACACACAACCTTCTTGCCTCGAGGGCTTTCCTCTTCCCAGCCACATCTGTCCTGCTGGTAAGATGCTCTTCCTCCAAGAATTATTTTTTAACTTTTCCCTGCTCATTCTGCATTTACAGCATGGTTTCCACTAAGTCATCTATATAGCACTTCCTTTCACAGCTATTTGTTGCCCATTGCATATCACTTTTTAAGTCAGATATTACCAAGCATTGGCAAAAAGGTGGGGAAAGAGAGCCCTCACCCACTGCAGATGCAGCCGTTCTGAAGGACAATTGTGCACCTTAAATCCACCAAGCCCACTCCTGGGTATACACCCGGGGAAATTCTTCCCAGGGAACACAAGATGTTCCTAACAAGCTTCACTATCACTCTGCTGGAGGCAACCTAGGTGTCTATGTCCAAGGAATGTACAGGTAAAATATAGTTTGTGTATACAATAGGATAATAAATTATATTTTCATTTAGAAACCTGGATTGATCTCAAAAATGGAGTTAAGAGTAAAAAAGCAAAAACAGAATGGGATTTATAGCACAATTCCATTTATCTATCAAACACACACATAAAGCAGCCTTGTGTATTTTTGTAAGGACGCTCATATATCTAAATAAACATCTGTTGGATGGATTGGAAGAACTATATTACATGTATTAGAGTGGATACCTGTGCAAGGAGGGCAGTGGGATTAGGAATGATAGATGAAGGGAAAAAAACAATAAACCTTAAAAAAATGTTTTCACAAAAAGGTTGGTTCTTCTATGAATAAATGATAATATTCCACGAACTGAGAAGCAGGATTACCTCAAACATGTGCAGGTGAATTCCAAAAGATATAAAAAAGAAAAAAAAGACATAATTCTAGCATTTTGTCTGTTTTTCACATTCAAAACAAAGGAACTGTTTCCTGTTTTACAGGTTTTCTATTGTTGCCATAACAAATTACTATACACTTAATAGCTTAAAACAACATAAATTTATTGTCCTACAGTTCCATAGGTAAAAAGTCTACCACATGTCTTATTGGGCAAAAATCAACGTGTTGGTAGCACTGCATTCTTTTCTGAGGGCTCTAGGAGAGTTTCCTTGCCTGTTCCAGCTTCTAGAAATCACTCACATTTCTCAACTCAGGGCCCTCCTCCTCTGTCTTCAAAGCCAGCAAGGGCAGCGCTAGTCCTTCTCACATCTCCTTCTCTGACTCTGACCTTCTCTTCTGCCTCCCTCTTTCACTTTTCAGGACACTTGTGATTATATGGGGCCCACCTGGATCACCCAGGACACTCTCTCTATCTTAAAATCAGCTGCTTAGCCACCTTAATTTTATCTGCAACCTCCACTCCCCTTTGCTGTGTAAGGTAACATATTCACAGGTTCTAGGGATTATGACATGGACATTTGTAGTCTGTTATTCTGCCCACCACACCTGAGCATGAGTCAAATACTGAAAAACACAAAGCCACATATTCTTTCTCATTGTGAATGAGTTATTCAGCCAAATGACAAAAGATATGTTGATGCTACTGTGTGCTAGATCCCCATGGTAAGAGCTGAAGTTACAGCAGCGGTCAGGAGTTGGGGGTTTGGTGATGTTCCCTCCTTGCAACAAAAATTCCCATTCTGGCATATTTTAGCTAAAGGATAAATGAGAAGTATTCCGATTAAGCTTTCTTACTACAGTGTAAATGACTGGCCTCTAGAAGAGATACTTACCTTCTTTTCAAAAGAAGCACCCTAACCCAGGGCCTCTTAAACTTTAATGGGCATATAAATTGCCTGGGAATCTTGTCAAATTGAGTTTTGATCCAGTAGGATTGGCATGAGGCCTAAGTCTGCTTTTTCACGAACTTCCAGATGATGCTAATGCTACCTGTCCAGGGCTGCACTTCTGTTTGAGTTAGGGAGCAAGACCCTAACTCAACCAGAGCTCCAATTGTAAGCCATAGTCAGTCTGACCCTGCCATCAATCAATCTTTATGATGGGTTTACCTCCTTCTAAGAGGTGACGGTAGTCAACTAGCTTTGCAAAACACCATACTTTGTCACTGTGACAAAATACCCCCAGCAGAGAGGATACTTCATCTACTAGGAATGCCCTCGGTTTCCCACAAGGATGGTTTCTGACCAAGACCCACATCCATCCCCACATATGGGTGTGCTGTATACAATCCATGATAGGATAGTCAGTCTCCTGTTTCCCCGGCCAGGACTCCTAACCTCCAAGACTGATGCCCCCCAGACAGTGTGACTCAGTGGCCCAGTGTCTGAATTCATATCTATTGTCAGAAGTGTATTTGATTGGGGAAAATCAGGACTATATTGGGACAGATTACCTGAGCTATTTGAGGAGTACCTTACTAGATCAAGTTATAAAGGCTGACAAGATTCAATATTATCTCCCTACTAGTGTTTTGCATACTAGTTCCATTAGGGCTGAGAAATAATAGATGAGCAGAAGACAGAGCAGAAGCAATAGAATCTCCATAGGTAAGTTGGGTTCTCTTTATAGCAACCTCAAAGGGACTCTGGCCAAAGAAACTATCTTAGTAAAGCTCAAGGACCAATGGGAGGACACATTATTGCATCAAGGTGAATTGATAATGTAATCTGTAAGGTAAAAGAATGCAAGTTCCTATATATACCACGTGGCTGTTCCTGATTAATGAGTTTGGGCAGTACCACTTCATACTACACTTTTGAACATTGATGTGCTTGGGTGTTCTCTGAGCTGTGACTTCCCCAAATCCTTGTTTGGGCTGCAAAACTTTGATCACTGTGGGGCAACAAAGCAGAACCATACCTGCAGTTCCACACCTTCTACTTACAAAATAACCAGGTGCATCTCATCTCCTCGGCAGAGTGCTGTTGTAACATTTCCCCTGAGAATTCCTTGAGGAACCTCCATTTTATGGCATCTATAGGCCTTCTTCCCAAATTATTCTGGGTGGGTAGCTGCTAAAAACCCTCTTGTATGAACAAACACTGTGGGAGCTCCCCCACTCCAGCAGCACAGATCCAAAGTTGGTACCCCTGCAACAGAGCAATGGTGGGAGGCATGGATCTCTGGCAGGTGGAGAGGAGACATATTCTGACTATAGCAGGACTTAAAGCTGTCAATTCATCCAGCATCTCAGCTGAATGACCTCCATGAGAGCTGTTTCCTATTGTAGAACAAATTCAGTTAGGGAGTCACTATTCTCTCTCACCCTAAGTATTCATTCAAGTATTAAAGTGTAGGACTTTACATCAGGCAGCAGCTTTTAAAACATAGAGTCTAATACCCATCATTTTGTGGATTTGAAAAAAAATGAAGACTAGCTATGAAGGCCCAGGAAGCCAGCTTACCCTCCCACCCTTCTGTTTACATCGCATTCCCACCTCTATACTTTTTACCACTTTCATACTTTTTATTTCCTCCTTCCCTTTCACTTAACTTGGAATGATGGCTCCTGAATTTCTTGCCTCCACCAAAACTGGATGGATGGCTTTTCTCCTTCTGCTGAAGGGAAGAAAGCTGTGAAAGCCTACAGATAAAGGAAGTAAATAGACCAAGATTAAACAGGCAGTTCATGGATGAGATGATATCCAAACCCAGCTCACAGAGGCTAGTCAAGTGACTTGTTTGAGGTCACATATCTAGTTGATGGCAATGCTGGGACCAGAACCCACCTCCAACTTCAAGACTTTTTCCCACTAAGCCTTCCTCAACCACAGCTAGAACACTTCCCCATACCTGATGAAATGACACCTCATTACAGATTCAAAAATACCTTTGAAGATATTCGCCTTGAAAGGTGAAGGCCAAGTTTCACCTTGAAAGCTGAAGGTCAAGGTCTGCTTTGGGGAAAAGGGTAAATGGAGCTACCTGGGAATGTTACTGATCAGGCCTGGGTCTTTTATCTCACAGTCACATTAGCCTTCCCACCTAATTCCATTTTTAGGGTTTAAGCTTTTTCTATTTTTATTTTTTATTTTATTTATTTATTTTTTTGAGATGGAGTCTTGCTCTGTTGCCCAGGCTGGAGTGCAGTGGTGCCATCTTGGCTCACTGCAAGCTCCGCCTCCCGGGTTCACGCCATTCTCCTGCCTCAGCCTCCTGAGTAGCTGGGACTACAGGTGCCTGCCACCATGCCCGGCTATTTTTTTGTATTTTTAGTAGAGACGGGGTTTCACCGTGTTATCCAGGATGCTCTCGATCTCCTGACCTCGTGATCCACCCGCCTCGGCCTCCCAAAGTGCTGGGATTACAGGCGTGAGCCACTGCACCCAGCCGGGTTTAAGCTTTTTAATTCTTTTCCAACACAATCCCTGTCTGGCCATGTGTTGTTACTATCTTGTTATTTCAAGTTTCTCTCCAGCTGGGTAAATCTTCATTCTGTGTCCTAGCCCTGGGCTTTTCTCTTTGGTTTCCTCTCATCTGCCCGGGAGGCCAGCTTACCCTCCCACCCCTCTATTCACATCTCACTCAACTCTTCCCACTTCTATACTTTTCACCACTTTCATACTTTCTACTTCCTCCCTTCCTTCCACTGCTCTTGGAATGATGGCTTTTGAATTTTTTGCCTTCACCAAAACTGGATGACTTCTCCCTCTGCTGAAGGAGGGCGGGGGGCTGGGGGAAGTCGTGAAAGCCCCAAAATGCCATCTTTCGTCTCATTTTCTATTTCTAGCACATATTCTGTTTATAATTCTGCCTCCCTCATAGCAGATTGACACAGCACTCTGCTTAGTTCCCAGAATAAATGCAATTCAAGAATGAGAGGCAAATCCAGGCTCCCAGGATTCTTCTGCAGTCAGGCATTTGTTAGGGTTTTTTCTGCTAGCATTTGAGGAGTGTCTCTGCTGGTAGCCCTGCTTCTCTGAACCCATCTTCTACTGTCCTGAAAATGCCTTCCATACAGGATTTTCTTCATGGTAGATTTCCTTTCCTGATCATGTCTGGACTAAGCTTATATCAAAGGCAGTTTTTATTCCCCACACATACATTGACTGTGCCACAAAAGATATTTAAATATTTGTTGGATAAACAAATGAATACTAGCATATTAAATGATAAGTCATAACCTGAGTTTGTGGGAAGCCAATTTGGAATTATAGTTAATCCACAAAATAAAAAATACATGTAAAAATTTACATTTTCAAATTAAAAACCAATTTTATATGACATTCAATATCTCTGATGTCCTCATCACCAAATCATAAAACCTGACGGAAGGAGCAACATTTGCAGAGTAACTTCCACTTTAGGAATTGTGCTTTGCTTAAATAATTTTATTTATTCTACAACTTGTGAAATAGGTATTATTATCCCCCACTTTATAGGCAACAAAACTGAGACTCATGCAAGTTGTGTAGCTTAGCCTAGGTAACAGAAGAAGTAAGTGGCAAAAAATGAATTAGACCCAAGTTTATCTGACTTCAAAGCTCACTTTAAAAACCAAAAGAGGACGTGGGATCTTTGAACACGGCATCTGATGTAGCACATGCTGATGACTTCTGGTGCAGACTGTGTTCCCCTTGACTATTTCTTTCCTGCTTAGCACATAGTAGATGTTCAAACAAATAGTTGTTGAATTAAATTATTGAATGTACCATTTAGACTCAAAGTTCCTTAATCTGGTAGTATGCTAATATTCAGGGCTTGATATAGACACTTTAGAAGCAACCCAGCATCAAGTTTTGGAAGGTTATCCTGTGGAGATGCACAGGCCAATGTTCTCTGTCTTGTCTTCATCAGGGAAAACAGACATGGGATGATGACTTTACTAGGCAAGATGTAGGTATGAGCTAAGGGAAACATGGTAAAACACTGGATCAAGCTGCTGAGGAAGACAAAATATTTTGTCTGCAGATGCCCGTCACTCTCGGATAAGCCAGGCTTGAGTGGCTGCAGAGGCACCAGGAGCTGTTCTTCTGCATTTGTGGCAATAGTAAGAAAAAGTCTCCTAGCAGAAACTGACCTTGTTCTATAGCATCCTCTCCATGGTAATGTGGAGTTGTTAGTTCCCTTCATTGCTCTCTGATGCATAGCTTTAATTGTATCTTTGCTTTTATGTAGAGAATAGATTCATATTCCCCAGAGGATGGCTGGGAAAACCCACTGCTAGCCTCGAATACAAATAGGAGTCTGCAGAAGCTGCTGCTTCATGGGTGGGCACAGGGAAGAGGAGATGAAAGAGGACAACAACCTCCAAAGGTCTGAGGTTCAGGCATGGAGGCATCACAGTTCCTCTTGCCCTCTTCTAAGGAGTGAAAACAGGAGGAATTTTATTCAAAGGAAAATGAGAAAATTGCCTTCTGGGGGATGTTATGTGGTGCTGGAAAACTACCATCTCCCCAAAAAGCTGTTCCTCACCCATACAGGAGCTCCCATGGCTGAGGGACAGCTAATACCACTGTTGATATAATTATCTATTACCTTCCTCAATTTTTTATGCATGTTTCTCCATAATTGAGATCATACTGTATAAACATTTTGCAATCTGCCTTTTCCAGTTAACATTGTAGCTTGTAAGCATTTGAGGGGAGGATATTATAAAATCCAGCCATTTTACAGTTGAGGTGCCATCAGGCAGAAATAGCAGCAATGACAGGAACTCCTGGGCTGGCTCCCGGGAAGTCAAATAGTCCTATCCCACCCATGGTATGGTGCACCCATTTATACAACCTCATGAGGCAGTTGGCAGTAGTTGGCTCTGGGAGGAAGGATCAAGGGAGTTGTTGTTTTTTAAAAATCTCTCAATTTCTTATATTTTTCAAAATTTCATAATAAACCAGTGTCACTTTCACAGTCAGAAAAAAAATATTTTAAAGATGTTTCCTTCCTGCTGCCAAGAAAGCAGCAAGGCATTAGAATCTGAATCAAGGCAGAAGAGCAAGCTACCCAGGCTCATCTCACCATGCTTGAGGCTCCCCATCTATGGAATGGGGACAGTCACTCTGGACCTCCTAGAGTAGAGACTGTAACACTATCTGTCACATATGGAGAAGGTGATGTCACTCTAGGACAAGGTGAAGAGATGAGCAGCCCATGTTTGGGAGGTGCCCAAGCTTTGTGGTCCATAGCTGCCAACCCCTCCAAAGCCCCCCAAAGCCTCTCAGAGGAAGAACAGGAATTTGCCTTATTTATGATTATAACCTCCCAACTCAGCCATCATTCAGAACATATTGGAACCTTGGTATCTTCAGACTCTGAGAAAGGAGTTAAGCTACATTCTTTTCCCATTGCTTGCAAACAGGGCCAACTCATTCATTAGGCACAGGAGACACAGTAGCTAGGGACCAAAATACTGTTAGGGGTACACAAGATGTTTTAACATATTATATTCATGTGTTTGTCATTATTCCAAAACAGTCATAAAATATGATTTTTCATTTTTTTAATGGAGGAAAAGGTCCAAGAAGGCAAAAGCGCCTACTGCCCACAAAAATCACAACATGGCCCTGGTCACTTAGCCTATATTTCAGCTTCGTATTTTCTACGCCCTTCCATGAAATCATCAAGGTGGATTATGAACCAAAATGTCTACTATTCCTCTCTAATCATCTTCTTCATCATTCTGGTAAAGAGGAAACAGACTTTGGGTGTAGATTTTTGGCATGAAAATAACCAGAGCCATGAGATAAAACAGAGACCCTCACAGTAGAATTAGGCAGATGGAGACATATTTGGCAGAGAGCAGAAGAAACAACTTTTAAAAAAATTATTATTATACTTTAGGTTCTAGGGTACATGTGCAGAATGTGCAGGTTTGTCACATAGGTATACATGTGCCATGGTGATTTGCTGCACCCATCGACCTGTCATCTACATTAGGTATTTCTCCGAATGCTATCCCTCCCCTAGCCCCCCACCCCACAATAGGCCCCGGTGTGTGATGTTCCCCTCCCTGTGTCCATTCTCATTGTTCAACTCCCACTTATGATTGGTTTTCTGTTCTTGTGTTAGTTTGCTGAGAATGATGGTTTCCAGCTTCATCCACGTCCCTGCAAAGGACATGAACTTGTCCTTTTTTATGGCTGCATAGTATTCCATGAAGTATATGTGCCACATTTTCTTTACCAGTCTATCATTGATGGGCATTTGCGTTGGTTCTAAGTCTTTGCTATTGTGAACAGTGCTGCAATAAACATACATGTGCATGTGTCTCTATAGTAGAATGATTTATAATCCTTTGGGTATATACCCAGTAATGGGATTGCTGGGTCAAATAGTGTTTCTAGTTCTACATCCTTGAGGAATCACCACACTGTCTTCCACAATGATTGAACTAATTTACACTCCCACCAACAGTGTAAAAGCATTCCTATTCCTCCACATCCTCTCCAGCATCTGTTGTTTCCTGACTTTTTAATGATCACCATTCTAACTAGTGTGAGATGGTATCTCATTGTGGTTTTTATTTGCATTTCTCTAATGACCAGTGATGATGAGCTTTTTTTCCATGTTTGTTGGGCTGCATAAATGTCTTCTTTTGAAAGTGTCTGTTCATATCCTTCTCCCACTTTTTGATGGGGTTGTTTTTTTCTTGTAAATTTGTTTAAGTTCTTTGTAGATTCTGGATATTAGCCCTTTGTCAGATGGATAGATTGCAAAAATAGAAAAAGCTTTTTAAATTGCTCCCACAAAAACCATTACAATACTGATGGATAAGACGCAATAACTCTATGAAATGATCTGGCATTGCCCCCTTTTCCTAGGAAAAATTGTCCCTCATTCCTTAGGATAATATTTCTGTGAAATGTGAACATCCCTTTCATAACCCTGGTCCTTTTAAAATTAGAGTTATATTCTCATGAGCCAGGCGCCCAGAAGCCCATCAGCCCGCCTCCCGCTAGGCCAGAATACGGCGCCAGCGCGCATGGGGCGCCCCCCGCCCCCCCCCCCAGGGCGGGGCGTGGGGCGTGGGGCGGCCTGGGGCCGCTGAGCGCCGGGCCCGCCCCCGCTGATACGCCCAGCTGTGGGCGCCAGCGATCCCAGGCTGCGCCGGGCGGGGGCTGAGCCGTACCCCGCGCCCAGCGTGCCCCGCCGGCGAGGGGGCCGCCGCCTGCCTCCGCCCAGGGCCCGAGCCCCGCGGCGCCGCGTAGCCGAGGAAGCCCGGCTGCCGCGAGCTAGGCGCTGGGCGTCAAGGTCACCGGCCCGACAGGGCGCACGCAGCGCCACGGAGGCCAAGGTACCCTCCGAGCCGGCGCCCGCGCGTGCGCAGCGAGACAGTGACCGGCGCTTGGAGGCCACCCGCCACGCCCGCGCCCAGAGCCCCTCATCCGGCAACGAGTCCGAGCCCAGCCCAGGCAAGGAGAACGCGTGCCGCGCGCCCCCCCACCCACCCACCTAGCGCCACGACGGCCGGAAGTTCAACTCGCAGGAGGAGGAGGTCATGGACGGCTTCGCCATACCCAGCTTCAGCACCCTGGAGGCCCTGAGAAAGATATGGCCCTGGAGCCACAGGAGCGGAAGGAGAAATGGGAACGTCGCCTTATCAAGAACCCCGGGAGTTGGAAACCTGCCTCCTTGCGGAGCCGAGTGAGACCAGGCGGACCCTGGAGGCAGGCAGCCCCCGGCAGGACCTCGAGCCCGCTTGCCATGGGGCGAGGAAGGTCCCGCTGCAGTCCTCCAAGCAGGTGTGCTCCCCAGAAGGGGGGCCGCTCCCAGCTAGCCACTGGGACCAGAAGAGCCCCGCCCAGCGCCAGGAACAGCTCCAGCCCAGCCAGCCCGGCCAGCCCCAGGGGTCCCTCCCAGCCCTACTCCTGGCAGCCCTGCCAGCCCTCCCAGCGGCCACTCCTGGGTCAGCGCAGCTGGCCCTGGCGGTCACTTCGGGGCCTGAAACAGCCCTGCCAGCACTGGCGGTCACTTCTGGGCCCCGGTCAGCCCTGCCGGCCCCAGCGGCTCCTTCCAGGCCCAGATCAGCTCTGCCAGCCCCAACAGTCACGCCTGGCTCAGCCCTGCCGGCCGCATTGGGCACTCCCAGGTCCCTCCTGGCCTCACGGTCCCTTCTGGACCCCTGCCTCTACTGCCGGCGCCTGCGGTTCCTCCTGGCCCCAAGGCACCGCTGCAGGCGCCTGCGGTCTCTGCTGACCCTGTGGCACCGCTGCCGGCCCCTGCGGCCGTGGGCCAGCCCGTGTCACTGTGGCCAGCCTGGTAGGGCATCCTCAGGACAGCGCAGCCGGCCCCTGTGGTCACTGCTAGCCCAGTGCCGGGGGTACCAGCCCCCACGGCCACTCTACACCCTCTGACCACGGCGACGGCCCGCCAGTTTCCTCCCAGGACAGTGCTGCTGCCCCCGGTGGGCCTTCCTAGCCCCACGTCAGTACGGCCAGCCCCGAAGGTCCCTGCTGAGCCAGGCCAGCCGCCCCGGCGGTCGCTGCTGCGCCTCAGGTAGCCCCAGTGGTTAGTGGAAGCCCCAGAGCTGTAGGGCCCACTCACGCCTTCACTCCTGGGCCCGGGACAGCCAAGGCAGCAGAAGCGGCCGCTCATGGGCGTGGAGCAGCCTTGCCCACCCAAGCGGCGGCTCATGGGCCTGGAGCAGCCCTGCCAGTCCCTGCGGCCGCTCATGGACCCCAACAAAGCCTGCAAACCCCAGCCGTTGCTCCCCATTCCCGATCGCCCTTCGCTCCTGGGGTACCCAGGCGCACCCTGCCGGCCTCTTCAGGGGCCCCTGTGCCAGCCACTGCAGTCCCTGTTGGATCTGGTGCCGGCCCCTTCAGCCCCGGCTCTCACTCCTTGTCCTGGGCCATCCCTGCTGGCCCCTGAGGTCACGGCGAACCCGATCCTGTGCCCCTGGGGTGGTCTGTCAGGCCCCATCTGTGAGCCCCGGAGCCCCCATCTGTGAGCCCTGGAGCCCCCATCTGTGAGCCCTGGAGCGTGATGCCTGCGGGCCTCTTCCCGGATGCGTTTTCCAGGCCACCCCAGTTAGAGCTGCATCTTGGCAGGGCCCCGAGAGCCAAGGCCGCCTCACCCTTCGGGCCAGAGATGCTTTGCCGGACTAGCTCGAGGCCTTCTCTAGACAGGGCCAGGCTGTTTGCCTTTGGAAATTGAGGCTCAGCCTGAGGCGGGAGCCCCTGCAGTGCAGTGATCAGGCAGAGGCCCGCCACGCCAGGAGGAGAGATGAACCCGGCATCTTCCTGCCACCCCACCATGCCCTCTCCCACTGGTGTCACAGTGCCCCCACCTGCGTGTGCTGCCTGTGGTGTGCATGCCCTGGGAAGGGAACACAGCCCCTGAGGGCCGGGAGCTTGCTAGGTGCCCCTCAGCGTCTGTGTCTCTAAATTGCCAGTACTGTCCTTGCATCTCTGAGTCTCCGTGCATGATTGTCCCAGCTGTGCCACCTTTGTAGAGTGCGTGAGCATGGTGTATGCACCCTGTGAGTGTATGCTTGTGTGCAAGAGTGGGTGTGAGAGTGAGTGGTGTGCTGGGCATGAAGGATCTGTGGGGGTGGTTGCTGCAGGCCTTGCTCTTCACAGGCCCCACCCCTTTGGCCAAGATGCAATTCTTGCCCTCAGGCAGAATCGCCCAGTGGTGAATGGTGAAGGTGTGGGTTTCAGTCCAGCCCCTCTCTCTGGCAGTCAGGTGGTACTGGTGTCCACCTCCAGGGCCCCCAAGCTACAGGGGGAACACAGGCCCATCTGGTGGGTCAGGAGCTGCAGGGGGCCCGGAGGCTCCCACATTACTCTCAGGACTCTGCCTCCGCCACCCCCGTGGGCACACACTGAAGGGTTGCCCGCAGGGTCTCCAGATGAGGGGGAGCCTGCAGGATGGGCAGCACCTTCTCCTGGCTTCCCCACAGTCCCCTGCAGCATCCTGTCTGGCTGTTGACCTAGATGCAGTCGGGCAGACCTCACACTACAAAGCTGTCCCTGGGCCCATTCCCGCTCCTTCTACGCCCCCCATCTGTGGTCAGGGTTTGCCACCCCCTCAGGCCCTGGTCTGGAGGGAGCCCCACTCAAGTCTTCTGGAGTCCGAGGCATGCCACTGGCCCAAAAGGGAGGGGGTGTTTTATGGGGGTGCTCTGAGTCTCCAGACCTCAGGGGAACTGGGTGGGCTGCAGCCAGAGGCCCTCCAGAGAGCAGCTTTGGCCACCTGAACCCCTGCATTGTGACCAGAGGTCCTGGCCGCGCAGGCCTGATCTCGCCCAGCTGGGCGACCGCAGGTGTCAGGAAGTGGGTGTTCCTGGCTTCCAGGCCAGGCAGCTGCTGACCTCCAGACCCCAGCACTTGCTCATGAGGACCCCACTCCCTCAGGCCCTCCTGGGTCCTGACCAGGCTCTGGTGCAGCATTTGCTCTGGGCCCTGGGCCCCAGGCCCCCTCACTCCCTGCTCATCCAGGCCCCTTCCTCCGGTGCTCACCTGGGGCCTCCATCCCAGAAGTGCAGGGGTTATTTTTCTGATTAAAGAAAATAAAAAGTGCCATGGCACCATTTTTTATAACAAAAAAATTAGAGTTATAAATAAATAAGTACAATTTGCAAACCATTTGATTACATCCCTGTACTTTACCAAGATTCCCTAAGGAGGTACTTACACCACTTACTATGTCATTAAATATTTAAATAAAAACTCATTGAAGTGAATCGTGGAACAGAAAGGCATTTATGAAGCACATGTTTGATGCAGCAGCGGGCTTTAGACGTAGGGAGCACATAGAATATTTGCTCCCTGCAGACGAGGCATAGCATAACGCAGCAAGGGGCTTTGAAGGGACGGAATACAGGTTTCAAGGTAGGAAGCCAGTAGAGAAATCCCCAGTTTTACTTAGAGTCCCTTATGCAGCATTTTATTGTAATTTTCATTGGCAAACATTGATTGAGCACAACACTATGTGAAGAGAGTGGAAATGTTGTATTAAATAGCCCTGACCCACAGGAGTTCGCAACATGGTTAGAAACCATGAAAATACTGGATGTAAGTGGATCACAGCAATATCAAGGCGTACATGCTGAATGACAGAGGAGTGGTCCCAACTGTAAGTTTTGTATGAGAGCCAAGAGGAGAAAATCCTCAAGTGACTGAGCATCATTGAGGATCCAGCAGGAAGCAGATGGCACACACTAGAGAGTTTAACTAAGGAAATATTTACTGAAGAATGGGCAGAGTTGAGTGAACCAAACACAGTGGTGAACTTAGGGACTAGCAATTGTGGGAAGCTGTTACCACCCCTAGACCTGAAAGGGCAAGGGAGGAAAGGATGTTATTGGAGCCAATGAGAACTGGTTCCATGGAAAATGGGGTGCTAGACAGTAGCTGAGGCTATGGAGGCAAGGCAAGAAGCTCAGTTTGGGAGTTGGGAAATAAATACCCAATGTCTGATCACCTGCTGATACCTCCAATAGGCCAAATCCAGCTACTAGAGAGCAAGGAAGCCCAGGCGACACAATTCTGGTGCAGACACCAGGTTAGAGAAGACTGCAGAGTGGACCTAGCAGGACAAATGGAGGCTAGCCCAGCACACAGGCTGGAGGGCTTGCTATCCAGCAAGGCTTTAAGAGAAAGGGAAGATATATTGGCATAGAAAAGGAAGGGGGAGATCATCTTAAGCAGAAGTAGACATGTGCATATAGGAAATGGGAAATAATGTTTTTCCAGTGAGGAGGCAATATGCGCACAGTGCATTTTCTTAAGAAGAGTAAGGCTATATCATTCAGGAAGCTTGGAGGAATTGACATAGGTCAGAGTTTCTTTATCCCAGCACAACTGACATTTGGGGTAGGATAATTATTTGTTGGGGGGACTGTCCTCTCCTTTGTAGGATGTTTAGCAGCAGCCCTGGCCCCTACCCTCCATATGCTAACAGCAGGCTATTATCACACTCCCACTTGTGATAACCAAAAATGTCATCACACATTGCCACATGTACCCTAGAGATGCAAAACTACCCCCAAGTTGAGAACCACTGGGAGAGGAAACAGAGGAGACCGTGATCAGAAAACCACTGAAACACAGGGTGAATGTAAGATGCTAAGGGCTTAGATCAGTGTGGAGCAGTGAGACCGGCAAGAAATGGACAAAGGCACGGTGCCTGTAGGTGAGAAGCATATGGGCTGTGTGAGGAGAGGCAGAGGGGAGTGGCTAAGGGTGATTCTTAGGTTTGTAGTGGGATAAGAGGGAGGAGGATGTCTCCACTGACAGCACTATGAATGTCTGAGGCTGGCCCTGGGGAAGATGATGTGCCCTTTGTGAACTTGTTTGAATGAGGTCCAGGACATTTGGACAAGGGACTGAGTTGAGCAGGGAGGTTGAGACTTTAGGTGTAGATTTGAGTCATCCACGCAGAGAACTAGCTGGCAAACTTGTATCCATAGGAGGATAGTAGTTCTCATGAAGGGAAGATAGAAAACCAAGTACTGAAGTTTGTTGTTGTTGTTGTTTTTGGTGATGGTGGGCAGCAAGGAGTGTTGTGGATATTTAGAAGATGAATAATGTGGGATAGAAATAGAAGGCTCTGGGGGCAGGAAAACCAGGCAGTTTTCTGAGGGGTGAGAGTGGGCTGAAGTTCAGCTCCTACCCTGCTTGTCAGGCCATATGCCCAAGGGGCTATGTCTGCCCCCTTCTAATGTATGCAAAGGTGCCATAAAGGCTAGGGCAGTCCTGAGGAGAATCAGGGTGGCCACAGAAGACACAGGTGTCAAGAAGGGAGGAACCTTGTCCACACAACTCACCCCACCTCCCAGTGGTAAAATTCTCCTTTTTTCCCCTCAATCACTCAAGTCCTTAAAGAAGTAGACTTTGATTAGGTAGACATTTTCATTTATGTGGAATTTTGTGGTTTGTTTCTCATAACTGAGTGGTTATAGGAGGTGTTGCTCTCCTAGGTTCTGAAAAAAGACTACACACAGAGGTAGCAGGAAGAGGAGGGGATCCAGAACCACAATGAGTAGCTGTGCTTGTCGTCTCAATGGTTCCAACTCTGAGGAGAGATGACAAACCTCATCATTTTCTCTCACAAAGGGGCATATTGTGGTAGGCAGGATTCTAAGATGGCCTCCAACATTTCCACCCCCTGGTGTATGTGCCCTGTATAATCTCATCACCCCTGTAAGTGTGGGTGAGACCTGTGAATATGAGGAGATATCACCCCTGTAATTAATATTATGTGGCAAAAGAGAACTTTCAGATATAATTAAGGTCCCTAATCAGTTGACTCTGAGTTAGTCAAAAGGGTGGATCTGACCTAATCATCATCAGGTGAGCCTTAAAAAACAGACAAAAGAAACAACAACAGATGCCTCTGCTGGCCTGGAAGAAAGCAAACATCAATAAACTGCCATTCCGGGGCCATGGAACTGCGACGTGAAAGTGGCTTCTAGGAGCTGAGAGCAATCCCTGGCCAAAATCCAGGAAGAAAACAGGGACTTCAGTCCTACATCCCCAAGGAACTGAATTTTGTCAACAACCAATGAATATGGAAGAGGACCCTAAGGCTCATATGAGAGCACAGCCCTAGCCAACACTTGGGTTTTAGCTGGGCAAGACCCTTAGCGGAGGACCCAGCTAACCCACCCAGACTCCTGCCCTGTGGAAACTGAGATCAGAAATCTGTGTTGTTTTAAGCTGCTAAGTATGTGGTAATTTGCAATGCAGCAAAAGAAAACAAATGTATATGTGAAAGGAGTTTATGTACACAGGGTTGATTGGCTCCATGGGGAGTCTAACAACCACACCCCACAGTTAAATCACAGAATTGTGCTGAACCTGAGCCAAGGTCCCGAGTATGGTGTACCCATCATCACTGCTCAGCCCCAGCCTCACCATGATCCAAGCAGCAGGTGGGACAGGGTCACTCTCGTTTCCTCCTATGAAATGGCACACTTAAGATCTGGGGGAAGTGAGCCACAGTATAAGACACACAGGATAGGGAGAACTGATTTTCTGAGCTCATAGCTAGTATGAGACAGTTGATACTTAGTATAAGGCTGAGATGGTAGAGAAGACCGTCAGGATTCCCACTCTCTGGTGCCAGACCGGTCGTCACCTGGCCAAATAGAACTTTGGTCCCTAAGATACTGAACATGCAAATCTCAATGGACACTGAAGTATCATTTTTCAGAAGGGCCTCTTAGAAGAAGGAAGGAAAGGGAAGCAAGGTGGAAGGAGAGAAAAAAAGGAGAATTTAATTCAGTAAACAAATATTTATGGTGCCCATTATGTGCACAATTCTGTTCTAGGCTCCCGAAATACATCAGTGACTAAAACAAACAGAATCCCATGCACTCCAGGGAAAAAATATAGAGAAATCAATAAAACAAAAATTTAAAAATACATAGTATGTAATGATTGTAAAGCAAGGGAGGAGTTGGAAGGGATATTGGTGTTCAACTTAAAAGAGTCAGATAAGACTCCCTTAGAAGGTCACATTTGGATACAAAACTAAAGGTGCTAACGAGTGAAGCCTGTGGATACCTGAGGAAATCATGTTCCAGGCAGACAAAATGCAAGTGCACAAGTCTTGAGTCAGGAGAGGGTCTGGCCTTTCTGAGGGATAATAAGATGGCCAGCATGGCTGGAGGGAAGTGAGGAAGGAGAAAAGAGGAAATGATGGGTTCAGAGAGTTTAAGGGCCTGTGGGTTACTTTGACTTTTACTTGCATAATGTGGCAGCCACTGAGGGTTCTAAACAGAGGAATGACATGATCAGTCTTAGGTTTTCAGTAATTTGATTGGGCACCTGTGATGAGAGCAGACCATCGGAAGGGAAGGGCGGAAACAGGGAGATGGGTTAGGAAGCCATTGTAGTGGTCCGGGTGAGAGATGAGGTTTGCTTGGACCAAGGTGATGGAAGTGGAGAGAAGTGCTCCAATTCTGAATGACTTATGGAGATACAGCCAATAGCATTTGCTCTGATTGGATTTAAGGTGTGAGAGAAAAAGCAGCCAAGGATAATGCCAAGGTTTTTAGCCTGGGCAACTAGAATTTACAGTTGCTATATTTTGCTATGAGGAAGCCTGGAGGAGCTGGTTTGGAGAGGAATCTTGGAGTGCAGTTGGGGTGTATTAAGTCTGAGAAGCCTATTAGACATCCAGTGGTGCAGAGTAAACAGTTGGATGTTCTACTGTGGTGTTTAGGGAAGGATTAGGGCTGAAGACATAAATGTAATATCCAAAACATGAAACTGAATGAGATAAAAAAGAGAGTGCATGTAGATAGAGAAGTCCAAGTGTAAATCCTGGGGCACTCCAAGATTAAAGTGTCAGGGAGAGGAGGAAGAACAAGCAAAAGAACAGCCAATGAGAAAGGAGAAAAACCAAGAGTGTGATGTCCTGGAATCCAAGGAAAGAAAGTGTTTCAATCATGCGAAAGTGATCAACAGGATCAAATGCTGCTGATAGGTTGAGCCGAGGCTGAGAGATGATGTTGGATTTAACAGCATGTCACTGGGGACCTTGACACAAGTCATTTCAGTGGAGTGATGGGGATGAAAGCCTGGTTCAAGTAGATTAAAAAGAGATTTGGAAGAGAGAAATTAGCGGTGGCAGGTATGGGCAACTCTTTAAAGAACTTGGCAATAAAGGGAAGCAGAGAAATGGGTGAAAGCTGAAGAGGAAAATGATGGGAGAAATTAGAGCATGTTTGTATATTGATGGGAATTATCTAGTAGAACAAGGGAAATGATAAGAAAGGATATTCATTTGTACAAGAAAATAGCAGAAAACAATGTAACCTACTTGATAAAAGATTTTATGTAATAAAAGTTTTTATTGTAATATATAAGACAGATTTTTTTACTGAAACATAATAAACACCCATGAACCCACCATCCACCCCAAGAGCTGGACCACTACCGGTAACATCTATGTGCTCCTCCCTCTCTACTCTTACCTCTGTTTTAGAAGAAAGCAACTTTCCTGAATTGTGTTATTATCGTTTCCCTGTAAAATTATATTCTCTTGACTGTATCCTGTTATTTATTGTATCCTGTTATTTATTGACTGATAGATCAAGGATAATCTAACCTACGCCTCTCAACCTGGCCTCCTACAGACAGACATCAAATCACCTCAGTCAGACAGTGCTATGAAATTCCTCCCTTGTGTTTAACCTGCTACTCTAAAATTCTATTTTATTTCATCTTCCATCTCCAGCTGTTAGTGCTTTGTCTGAAAAACCTGTTCTTCTGCACAAAGATCATTATTATTCATTCCTGTCAGTATTATTTACTCAGCATGAAAGCAGGAAGAGATTGGCACACCTTCATCTCATGTGCATACAACAGAACAGACTCCAGTGGCCAGAGCATTCTTGTTATCCTGGAAGATGCACCTGCAGCCCTCAAGCCTCCAGCCTCCCCCTCCCAACCTAAGGCACACTCTGTTGGTCAGGTGCCTGTACCAACACCTGGTAGCCCCTCCACAGAGGCCTCAGAAAGATAGGTGATAGCTAGTGACTAGGTTTCTTTCATCCCCAGATCTTGCCCTGTGGGCAGTGGCCGTCCCCAGACCATCCAGGATTCTCCAGGTGTGCAAGGACCTGCAGGATTTTGACAAATGCCAGCAGAGTGGCCTCTTTACAAATGGATGACAACAGGCTGTGAAAAGCTTTCTGCATGCATAAGCCAAAAATCTAGTTCCCCCACTTGTTCACTGATGCTTAAAATTGCTTTAGGGAGAGACAAAGGCTTTCATCTCACAACCAGAGAAAGCTCTGAAGACCCTGGGTGAATTAATTGATTTAGACTAATACACACTGTAGTATAAATGGACTGAAGGATTACATGATGCAATGAGCAGCTTTCATATGGGTGTGAAGTGACACGGGGTGTAGCAGAGAAAGATGGGGCTTTTCTTGCCTCTTTGGGTGCTTAAAAAGAACAGTCTTGAGGCCAGGTGCGGTGGCTCACACCTGTAATCCCAGTGCTTTGGGTGACCAAGGGGGGGTGGATCACTTGAGCCCAGGGGTTCAAGACCAGCCTGGGCAACACGGCAAAACCCTGTTTATAAAAATATAAAAATTAGCCTGGTGTGGTGGCACACACCTGTAGTCTCAGCTACTTGGGAGGCTGAGGTGGGAGGATTGCTTAGACCTAGGAGATTGAGGCTGCAGTGAGTCATGATTACCCCATTGCATTCCAACCTGGGCAACAGAGTGAGACTCTGTCTCAAAACAAAGCAAAGCAAAACAAAACAAAACAAAAACAACAGTCTTGAAATCAGAAGACCTGGAGACAAGTTGGGCCCTGGGCCCTACTGCCAGCTGTTTGATCACAGGCAAAATTACTCGAAGCCTTGAGCCTGTTTTCTAAAACGAAGGTAATATCTACCTTCAGAGTTTACTGTGAAACTTTGATGTCATCATGTTTGTAAAAGTGCCCTGGCACAGTGACCACATTCTACCCTATAAATATTTTCTATCTTTCCCTGTTGTCCCCAGGCATCTCAGGCTCTGTTCCTATCCACTCCATGCCCCTTTCTTAGCATTATAAGGTCAAGAGTGAGGAATCTGGGACCACGCAACCCAGATTCAGATCCTGACTCTGTCACTTGCTGACTGTCATCTTGGACAAGTTTAACCTCTCTGTGCTCAGTTCCCTCATCTGTAAAAATGGGGATAACAATAGTACTTGCCTCATGGGGTGACAGTAAGGATGAAATGAGTTCATGTGTGTAATGCACTTAGAACAATTCCTGGCACCAAAAACGCATTGTAAGAGGTGTTGTTGCTATGATTCCTGAGGAATTCTCACCTGTCCACTTTCCACAAGCCGAAAGATCAAGCTCCACTTCTGCCCTCTCACCTACAAAAGCGCACCGTCAATGGCTACACATTCCGCCCCACCCCCAACGCCCCCAGCCCGGGTTTCCTAACGTCCCCAGCCCAGTCCTTAACCCTCCAGGCCGTCTGGTCCTTCCACCACCAGCAAAGCCCAAAACAGCTTTCAGCGTCCCCTAGCAGCGCCCTAGCGGGACCCTGGGAACCCGCCGCTGCAGGAGAGGCGGGGCGGCTCTGTGACGTCGCGCCCGGCGCTACCCCTGGTGACCTGGCAGCGGAGCCCGCGCAGGGTTTGCCAGGCGAAGGCGGAGCGCTAACGTCTAACGCTAACGGCGGTCGTGCCCCGCCGCTGCTGTCACCCCCGGCCGCTGCTGCCCTCCCCGCCGAGGTTCTACTGCTCTCCTTCTTAAGAAGGGTGGGAGGCACTCGGTCTCTCCCCACACCTCTCGCCTGAGGCCAGGCGCCAGGTGTCGCCTGAAGCCAGACAGCCGGTTTGGGAGCGAGCCTGAGGTAGCCACCCCGAGGGGAAGTGGAGGGAGGGCAGGGCTCTGAGCGCCCCGAGGGCTGCGCTGGTCTGAGGGAGGAGCCCTGCCGGACGCCCCCTGGATTCTGAGCCTCTCCTTGTTCACAGGGCAAGGGGAGGGCAAGGGGAAGGCAAGGGGATCTTCAAGAGAATGTGACTGTGGGGGATTATGGCTTTCTGGCCAATTTGTGTGCGTATTTTGTACCCAGAATACTATTATACGGTTTCTTACCCGGAGGACAGTGGTTGGGAGGCTCAAGAGTTTGGAATCAGAGCCCTCCACCGAGGAGCCACACCTCTGCTTTTTCATCAGCGACAGGGATATAAAAATACCTCTGGGTGAATTGTCATGTGGACCAATGGGCATACCTAGCACTTCATAGACTCCTATCACACATTATTTTATACCTAGCACTTCATAGACTCCTGTCAGGCATTATTTTATACCTGGCACTTCATAGACTCCTATCACATATTATTTTATACCTAGCACTTCATAGACTCCTATCACGCATTATTTTATACCTAGCACTTCATAGACTCCTATCACGTGTTCATTTTATAGCTAGCACTTCATAGACTGCTATCACGCATTCATTTTTACTAGTACCTATTGAACACTAAGTTCCAGGCACTGGGCTAGGCACTGGGATGGTGTGGTGAGCAAAAACTGACCAGTCCTGCCGTGGAGTTTGCTGGGGGAGACACATGTTACTCAAAGAATCACACTAAGGATAGGTAAGTGATGCTCTGGAAGGGTATGTACAATGGAACTGACAGGGTAATCAGGGAAGGTTAAGCAGACCTCCAAAGGAAGAATCAACCTGTTAAGAGGAGGAGAATGCATTCCAAACAAGAGTAACCACATCCCAAACCCACCACCTCCAATTCCGAACCCAAACAGGGATGTGCAGTTGTCTGTGCTTGGTTCCAAGCCGCTCATAGAAACCCTCTGAGATTCTGCCCTGGAGCCTTTCATTCATGTAATGGAGACTTTCATTTATGAAATGGAAGCCCTGTTTAGCCCATACCAATAAAAACAAGTGAGAAATCCCTGAAACAAGACTATACAGTCTATTTTAAGACCTACATTCTTCAGCACTTGGCAGGTATACGTTGGGCTGCCATTTCACATTGGGAGGCATGTTTTGTTTGCTTTTTTGTGTTTTTTAAAAATTCCTTTCTTCCCCCCTCTCCGAGAAACACCCAAGAATGATCAATAAATACTAAAAAAATTTTAAAAAATCCTTTTTTCCTCTGTACAGATTTAGTGGTTATTACTGTTAAAACTTTTCTAATACTTTGCAAAGTCTAAAATTAATCATTATTTTATCATCCTTTTCCTCCAAATAAAAGAACATAAATAAAGTAAAAGGTCATGAAGTCCCACCAATCTAAGACCACTTTAGTTTCTTGTCTTGGGATTTCCGAGCCATGCTGGTGTTGGTATAAATGGAAAACTTAGAACTAGTCTGTGGCTACCAACTCCTGGGGGACTGTTTCTCTCCTGACTAGAAGCAGCAATGGAGACAGGTTTCTTTGTTGCTTACCCCAGCCTGTAGGCAGATATTTTCAGCCACACCTTTTCACGCTGAGGGTGTAGTCCCTGGGCGGGTCTCAAGTTTAGGTCAGAAGGGGAGTCCTTTAGTCCAGACATTTGCCTTTTGTGAGCCTAATCCTTGGTCTCTATCCACCCTGCCTAGCAATTTATCTCAAAGCTTCAAGTTCCTGCCATCTACATGTGCCCAGGTGAGCCCTAGTTTCTTCATTTGCCCAGCACTGCGGGTTCCCCTTTCCTCACCTCATTGGCCACTGGAAGATTTCTCTCACTTCACTGCAAGCCCAGCAAGGCAATGTGAAAGGCTTGTACTGAGATTTGTCTGGCCTCTAGGTGTTTTGAAGAGGGACAGCTTTTTAGCATATCTAGTCTGTCCCTTTCTCTACTAAAAGCAGAAAAAAATCTTTTGATCTGTTGTTTATTTGTGGATGGAATTGTATATATTTTATGGATGTTCATGTTTTGTTTCAATTTGTCCTGGAACTTTTTGAGAGAAAATGTACGAGTTTTCCGCCTGACAATTAGAGTTGAAAAAACATGCAGCTATAAACAGAGACGCTCATCAAATGGCTGTTTAATGACTATTTTTATATGGAAATAACCTAATGTTAATTCATAGAGGGTTCAGAGTAAATTTTGCTACAATTCTTACCTAGCTAATAAGAGCTGGATGACATGCAAAGATGTTCATGATATACTTTTGAGTAAATAAGCTGTTTTGCATAATCTTATTTTTTTG
Source organism: Homo sapiens (assembly GCF_000001405.40). Taxonomy (NCBI): domain Eukaryota; kingdom Metazoa; phylum Chordata; class Mammalia; order Primates; family Hominidae; genus Homo; species Homo sapiens. Next base: position 125,971,711 of record NC_000003.12, read on the forward strand.
TTTTACAAACATATATATTTATACTGAAAAATTCTGGAAGGAGACATCCAATATTTTAGGGTGATACCATTAGGGATTTTTTTGTTGACTTCCACTTTTTAAATAAAAAAGGACTGTGTAATTTTTACGTAAAGGATATAACTATTTACAACAAAAAGTAGGGGTTAGCAGACGGCTTTCTAACCTTGCCGTTGTGTAACAATAGAATGCATTTGTCTTGCGGAGTCCCCAAAATTGAGTGTCAAACAGAGGCTGGGTGACCTCCTGTCCAGGATTGCTCTCATCTTATGAGTCCAAGTTTTCATCTTATGTATTTTTTCTCCTGAGAATAGGTCAACCAATCAATGGCTCAGACAGATAAGCCAACATGCATCCCGCCGGAGCTGCCGAAAATGCTGAAGGAGTTTGCCAAAGCCGCCATTCGGGCGCAGCCGCAGGACCTCATCCAGTGGGGGGCCGAGTACGTGCTCCTTTCTCGCCTTCATCTCTTGGAGGACGGGCGGGGAGAGAGGGTCCTGTAAAACCGCGGAGGTTGTCATGGCTGCAGCCAGGGGGTCGGGACTAACTGGCATCGTCTTTGTTTTAGCTCTTGCATTGCTTTGATGCTTTAAAATCCACACATAAATACTACATCTAGCCGGGCAAGGATGGGATGCCTCCCCTAAGCGAGCCAGATTGAGCAGTAGGACGCCAGGTCAATAGGCCGTGTCCTGGGGCAAGCAGCAAGTTAGATGACCGCGTCACACCAGCGTATGCACACCCACCTCCTCCCTGCACGCCTTTTCCCACTCTCGGTGGAAAGAAGGGCTGGGAATCTCCGCAGCTTAATCTGCCTTTCTTCATTCTCCTGTCTCACCACTAGATGGCAGCAGTGCAGCCGGGGGAGGGAAGCGACAGCCCTGGGTGGATGGGGTGGGACCAGTCCTGCTAGTTCACTCCTTTAAGGAGACACTTCCTCCCCTGCTGTTAAAACTCATACTTGGACCCAACCAAAGAGGCTTTGTATCTTTGAGGAAATTATTGTTATTTTCTTTGGTGTTTCTCTGAACTGATTTGTTCTGCCAACATAATGATGTCCTCACAGTACACACTGCATTCTGGGGAAAGGCCAGGCAGAGTGATGGGGTCCTCAGGCATGGCTGAAAACAGTGTGCCTCAAACACGGGTGCCTTCTTTCAGGAGAGACCTCCAGAGGCTGCTCAGTAGATGGAGCTTACACAACAATCGCTGCGGGCCTGGATTGAAGTAGCTTTGCACAGAAAGCCTCTCAGCTATGAAATTGCTCCTTGGACAAACTTGCCTGCTTGAAACTGGGGAACCAGGACTTGAGACAGGAGTTGGAAGATAACTAGACCTCACGGACCATTTTCAGGCTATTTTTACTGTTTGATGATTCCCTGCTTAGGAGGGTTTCAGTGGGAAAGTGAGAGTGAGAGAGGCCGTTGAGAGAAAGCCAGTGAGTTGGGGAAGGGAAGATGTCCTCAGGCTGAGGTTGTGAGTGGGTGTCCTGGGCAGATGGTGGGGAGAGTGTGGACACCTTTGAGAAGACACAAAATGGCACCTAAGAGGGGCCTTTCGGAGTCTCTGGGCCAGTGTTGTGCTCCTGGTCTGGATTAGGATGCAGCTTTTACAATTGGAAGGAAAATAGGCCAGTGGTGCTCATAAAAAGAAACATAAATGGGGGTTGCTTTGCCTAGTAATAAGCCCTGTTTAGTTTTCCATTCTAAATTTTATATATTGCCTCTAAGATTGAACTTTAGCTTCAGAAGACTAATTTATTTTGGCATAGTCAGATAGACAGACTTTATCTTATACGTTAGTTTCAAACCCATTTGATTGTTCTTGTGCTGCCGTTTTATAGTAAGCAAAATGACATTGCTTAGTATTGTCCCTGACATTTATGGAAGAGGCATTCCACTATTGTAGACTGCTTGCTCTCGTATTGTATCACGTGCTATAATTTTTTTAGACATCCATGAAAACTTAGTTTGTAGTTTAACCACAATGAAAAAGGAGGGCATGACCTAAGAGCCCCCTCCATTCTATCCAGACATGAAAAGCACTGCTCAGATGGTTGTATGTGACTTACTTAAAACCTGTAGCATTTTAGAGAATAAAACTCTGCAAAGTGTTTCCAAGACAAAATACGTTTTTAATCCATTGCAAGTAAGAATTTCCCTACATATGTGTTGTCAATGAAGAAACCTCTTACCAGGTATTGGCAGGACATATACTTATTTGTCCTCTGGTAGGCATGTGTTACAACTCAAATTTGCAATATATGTGTATAACCATGGACCTGATCACTTGCAAATGAAGCTCAATAACCCAAAGAATGAAATCCATGATTACAGCTTTGCTTCCATGTTGTCTAACCAATTCCACAAGAAGTCCAGAGATGTTGCTGCTGAGTGTTACTCTACCCGGGCAGCACTTCTGTGGAATGAGGTGCTGTGTGTCTCTGTCCCTCCCATTTATACCACCCAAGTCTGGAAGTCTGGTTTATAAAGCCTGAGTCCACACCCTGCTCCTGTTGTCACAGTGCACCCACACCCCGCCCACCCCAACACTGATCTGTGTGCAGAGATTTCTCAAGCACATTGTTAAAGGTGCCCTTCCTGCTGATGACCTCCAAGTGGTGACCGGCAGTTACTCCTTTAGTCCATGTAGCTTTCACTCTGCCTTGCTATGTGGCTTAGAGACAGGCAATCGTTAGCCCATCATTGTATGGCTTGACCCTAAAGTGGGCTTTTACAAAATTCCCTCTATATTATTTTCATACTACCTGGATCTGGAGGAAGTAATGGAGGGAAAAAAGCAGGGCGGAACAGAAATTTGTGGTTCATGGATCGTCAATAACCAGGCTTTTGATGGAGACAGACCCTGCCATGCTGCTTTGGTGACCCACATGTCAGCGGCTCATGTCCATTCCCTGCTGCAGGCAGCCTCTTTTCATCTTATGCCAGTCCTGAAACAGAACTCAGTACTTGTTCCACAATGCCCCCAAACAAAGTCCACTCCACAAAACATTGAGGAGCAGGCAGATTTCACTGAAAATTTTGAGGGAAGATGGAGAAACAGTTTTATTTTACAGGCACCATATAGCTTAAGGTTGTCTCAAACCTTCTTTGGCTTCTCTTCTCTCCTGAGCCTTGCACAGTGCCCTGCCAACCCTCTCTCCCTTCCCTCTTGAAGCCCCAAGCCTCACTACATACGGCCAGAAATCCTTCCTGATTCACCCCAGGATGCTTCCATCTCTTCCCTTTCCTCCTTTTTCATTTCTTCAGAGATGGGGGTCTTACTCTGTCACCCAGTCTGGAGTGTAGTGGCACAATTATAGTTCGCTGCCTCCTCAAACTCCTGGGCTCAGTGGTCCTCCAGGCTCAGGCTCTGCAGTTGCCAGATTACAGGCCGTAGCCACCATTCCTGTGCTGCCTTCCCCTTTCTTACGTACATTACTTTTTAGTTCTCTTCCAACTTCTCTTCCCAAGATTATATATACACATGTAACATATATCTGTGTGTATAAAACATTCAGAGATGACTGGAAAAAAACCCTGAACCCAATATGCTCCAGGGAATTGCATACCCAAACTTTTCTTGGTTCTTCCTCATCCTTAGAGAAGAACAAAGCTTTGTATTCTCTAAGCATTCTCTGTGCCCTAAGTGGAGAGTAACACATTCAGACTTTTCCCATATGTAAGTGAACTAAACACAATGACACATAGAAGCCACTTTACAAAGGTTCCTTTCTCTACCTCCTTCCCTCAGAAGAAGGGGGAAGGATTGCTAGAACAGCCAGAGGCCACTGGTGTATAGGATCCTCCTACTCTCTGACTTTTTTTCTTGTAGTTATTTTGAGGCCCTGTCCCGTGGAGAGACGCCTCCGGTGAGAGAGCGGTCTGAGCGAGTCGCTTTGTGTAACTGGGCAGAGCTAACACCTGAGCTGTTAAAGATCCTGCATTCTCAGGTAAGGGCCCTGCTGCAGCATTGAGGAGAATGTAGGGACAGTGTTGAGGCTGGGTGGGTACAGACGAAAGCCCTCTGTTCTCCTGCCAGTCAGCTGACCACTTAGCACCACCCTAAAATACACTAAACCGTGGACTGAAAGTAAATCTTCCCTTGGGGAAATGGGAATAATTTTGAAATAGGCTGCAGGCTGAGTCATTGGTGGGGTCATCCCAGATTTCCTTGAAGCTGGCAGAATGTACAGGGGCTCAATGCAATGCTAATCTTGTCTCTCCAGAAAAGTGCAGGTCCTCAGTCACTCGACAGTGTCTCCTTACTGATCAAGACCATAATATGATGCCAATCACAGTTTGGGGAAGGGCATATTTTAGCTCCCCAGTTATCCCAGGTCCAGACATTGCTTTTAGCTTTTAGGGAGAGGCTGTGAGCCTCTTCATAGCCACATCATCCTGGGAGCTGCCTGGTGAATGAATGCATGAGGAGGGTCCGGCTTGAGAAAGTTTGTGGTTTGGCCAATTCCCAGGAAATATGGTTGAGCACCACCAAACCCTGCTTTATGATCCAGGACAGAGCGGTTTGGGGTGATTTAGGACTGGCTTGGCTAACCACCTTGGTCCCAGAGGCTTAGCATTTCACTAGAATCAGACAGTCAGGAAAGGTGTTGGAGCACTTCATCGGGCATCTGTGCTCTTGTTGCATTGGTGGCCAACAACCAGTCATCTTCTCTCCTTTTGTCCACCAAGCACCTTGTGCAGTGAACATGACAGAGCTCTAAAATACCTGGGATCAAGTAACATTAGGCAGCCAGATCAAATCCCCGTGGGTCAGCCACATACCCCATATCATTCCTGGGAAAGCATGAGGGATGCACTTGAGGTCTAGAGCTAAGAACTCAGTGCAATCGGGAAGAAACAGACCTATGTCTTGTTCTAATTTTACCGTTAATTAGTGGTCTCAGGTAAGCCCTCTACCCCTTGGTTTTGTTTTCAGGCTCTTCTATCTGTCATATAAGGAATAAAACAATTTAGGAATACAATAGCAGATAAAAGCATCACCAGAAATTAAAATGTAATATAAATGTATATCTTTTGCATAATTCTGACACCTAAAGTTTGACAATTAATAAATTATATTTCAGCATGCTCTTCACTAGGATTTGCAAAGGTAACTGCCACACAGAGCCATCTTTACCTTCCTAACACCCCCTCCCGCCCCTTGCCATGTGCTGGGAGATGTGGACCTGGCCTGGGGACAGGGTGTTTCTCAGGGCCTTGTCTCAACTTCTCCCACAACCTCTGTGTTGTGTCTGTCCCCTGCCCTGCAGGTTGCTGGCAGACTGATCATCCGTGCAGAGGAGCTGGCCCAGATGTGGAAAGTGGTGAATCTCCCAACAGATCTGTTTAATAGTGTGATGAATGTGGGTCGCTTCACGGAGGAGATCGAGTGGCTGAAGTTTTTAGCCCTTGCTTGCAGCGCTCTGGGAGTTGTAAGTTAGCTTGACTGTTTTTTGTTCCTGAAGGGGAAATCTCCCTCTGGGCCTGGAAGGGCAGTGCATCTATACACGCGGTCAACTCTGCAGGGCTGATGATAAACATGCCTCTTCTCCTATTGTCCTTCTCCTCTCTAAAGCAAGGTCATTTCTGTGCTCGTCAGGCAGTGGCAGGGGTTGGGAGGAGGAGAGAGGGAAACACTGTGGTCAGGCTCTGGGGAGAGTTGACTACAGTGTAGCTCTTGGATTATTTATGAATATTGCCCTCAGATTTATTTTCACTCTGCTCCTTCCATTCATATTCCCAGAGACAACCAAGAGCCGACTGTAGAAAAAGACTTCCAGACACCTAGAATATATATCAATAGACACTGTTTAAAAGGGGTACAATCTTATAGAAAACTATGTAATAAACAGAATTGGATGCAGAACTCAGACATAAGAAAGCAAAAACAAAGAGAGATGAGGCTATTTCTGAATTTAGTCATGACATCTCCATGGATACAGGATGTTCATACAGATTTATGCCTTTTCCAAATTTGACTTGTTTGATATTGGAAAAACAATTTTACTGTTTTGAAGCCAAAGATGTTGAAATCAGTTTATATGTATAGATATTTAAAGCTTGGGTATCTTATATGTGGACTTACATTGTTAAACATTGTTAAAATAAAATGAATCAAAAACATGGTTTTTAAAAAGAATCCCTGAGATACATAAAAGTTTGAAAATTATTGAGAAAATAATTGCCTCTGCCAAAAACAAATGGTATGAAAAGGTAGTCTGAATCATTCAGCATATCTAAACATAATCTTGTTCTTCTCAAATATGCTTGGAATGCATATTTGACACGTTTGTTTCTGAGAAAATTTAGCAGAAATATTGTAGTCCAACTTTTCCTATAGCTTCCCCTACAATGTTTATCATTGCTTTAAAGAGAAGTGAACAAGAGGACATTTGTGGCTTTTTTTCTTCATTGTCCTTTATAGCATTTATTACTGAATAAATCACTATCCTCTGAGGAGGAAAGGAAAGTAAGCAGCAGAGGCCTATGAGTTGTCAATCAGGACGGGAAAATCACAAACGGGAAGATAAAAAAATGAACACATTTTATTAAATTTTCATAGGTTTAC